>NC_000002.12:25994603-26146119 GCF_000001405.40 Homo sapiens
TTTTGTGTGTGTGTGAAATACTGGGTTGAATCACATGAATTCTCATTTTGTAGGTTAATAATGACGGCATATTGACTTCAGGCCAGATCGCCGGATATCAGCTGAGTGACTCTTACAAGTCCTTCTAGATCCTGAAGTGGATTAGGTGCCGCAGTTGCTGCTCGTGTTGAATCCAGAACCGTAGCCAGACATAGGACTGGAGGACGAGCGAAAGATGCTGACCGAGTCTGGAGATCCTAAGGAGGAGGAAGAAGAAGAGGGGGAATTAGTGTTTCTACATCAGGATCCCCTAACAACAGTGAGAGAGCAATGCCAGCAGTTGGAGAAATGTGTAAAGGCCCAGGAGTGGCTGGAGCTCTGTGATGAGTGTGTATCCTCTCAATCACATACAGAAGAGGATTGCACGGAGGAGCTCTTTGACTTTTTGCATGCAACGGACCATTGCGTGGCCCACAAACTCTTTAACAACTTGAAATAAATGTGTGGACTTATTCCCCACAGGCTTCATCACCTGGGCATCAGGATATTTCCTTATGGTTTTGGATATGCCATTTGTTTCTTATTTCTGTAACTGTAAGTTCACATGAACCTCATGGATTTTGGCTTAGTCTGGTAGCTTCTGTGTAATTCGCAGTGATTTCATCTTAATAAAGTTCTGTGATCTGCAATCTGCAAAAAAAAAGAAATGACTGCATATTGGCAATTACACATAGTTTAATTGAATAAAACACATTCAGAAAGGTGCATGGTACATAAACACACGGCTTAAAAAAGTATTATTATTTGAGACGGAGTTTCACTTTTGTTGTCCAGGCTGGAATGCAATGGCCCAATCTCAGCTCACTGCAACCTCTGCCTCCCTGGTTCAAGCAATTCTCCTGCCTCAGCCTCTCAAGTGGCTGGGATTACGGGTGTGCGCCACCAGGCTCAGCCAATTTTGTATTTTTAGTAGAAACAAGGTTTCACCGTGTTGGTCAGGCTGGTATCGAACTCCTGACTTCGTGATCCTCCCACCTCGGCCTCCCAAAGTGCTGGGATTACAGGTGTGAGCCACCATGCCTGGCTCAGAATTATTATAAGACAATATCCATGTGCCCATTATCCAGGCCAAAAATAGGATATTGCCACCATCCTAGAAGCCCCCTGCAGGATTTTCTGCTGTCAGGAATTCCCCCTTACTCGTTAAAGGTAACCACTATCCTAGCTTTTCTGGTAATTCTTACCTTTTCTTTGTTCTTTTATCAACTAAAGATTATGGTTTTGGTTTGCCTGCTTTTGAACTTCATGTAAACTTATATAGTGTGTATTCTTTTGTACCCGGCTTTTTTCTTTTTATTTTTCCTTCCTTATTTATTTATTTATTTTTTTTTTATTTTTAGTAGAGACAGGGTTTTACCATGTTGGCCAGGCTGATCTCGAACTCCTGGCCTCAAGTGATCCACCCACCTCGGCCTCCCAAAGTGCTGGGATTACAGGTGTGAGCCACAGCGCCCAGCCATGTACCTAACTTTTTTCTTTTCTTTCTCTTTTTTTTCTTTTTATTTGAGAGATTTATCTGTGTTTGTTTTATCTATAGTCCATTCATTATTACTATATAATATCCTATTTTATGAATATACTACCCATGATCGGCTCCTGATGGACATTTGGGTTGTTTCCACTTTGGGATTATTACAAATTATGCTGCCATGAATATTCTTGTCCATGTCCCCTGTGTAAGTTGAACACATTTCTGTTCGGTATTGTCTTAGTTGGTTCTGGTTGCTGTAACAAAATACCATAGTCTGGGCAACTTATAAACAGTAAACATCTATTGCTCACAGTTCTGGAGGCTGAGAAGTCCAAAATCAAGGCACCAGCAGATTTGGTGACTGGTGTCCTGCTTCTTTCATAGATGGCACCTTCTTACTGTGTCATTATATGCTAGAACAAGCAAAGAAGTTCCTTCAGCCTCTTTTATTGTAAGGGTGCTAATCCCATTCACGGGGGCTATGACTTCATGATCTAATCACCTTCCAAAGGCCCTACCTCTTAATACTGTCACCTTGGGGGTTAGGATTTCAACATATGAATTTTAGGGAGACACAAACATTCAGACCATAACAAGTATATACCTAGGAATGGAATAGCTGGGTCACAGAGAATGCATTATTTTCAACTTCAGATAGTGTCAAACTGTTTTCCAAAGTGGGCATAACAATTTGCACTCCCAGCAGTGCATGAGGTCCAGTTGCTTCACATCAGCACCAATACTTAGTAATGTCATTCTTAGTTTTAGATATTTGGTATCTCGTGCTTTTAATTTAGGTTTCCCTGATAACAAATAAAATTGAGCACTCTTTCATATGCTTTTTGGCATTTCCATATTTTCTGTGAATTTCCTGTTCAAGTCATTGCTCATTTTTTGACTCAGTTGCCTGCCTTTCTTACTGCTTATTTTGGATTTCAGCCTTCTGTTGCTTATATGCATTCCAACCATCATCTCTGTGGCTTGACTTTTCATTCTGTTCATAGTGCCCTTTTATAGCCAGGATTTCTTAATTTTAATGTAGAAACATTTATCAATCTTTTATTTGGCTTGGCACTTTTTGGATCTTGCTTAAAAACTCTTCCTGTACCCCAAGGTCACAAAGATATTCTTGTATATTGTTTTCTTTTTTCTTTTTTTTTTTTCCTTTCTTTCTTTTCTTTTCTTTTCTTTTTTTTTTTTTTTTTTTTTTTTTTTGAGACAGAGTCTCACTCTGTCACCCAGGCTGGAGTGCAGTGGCACATTCTTGGCTCACTGCAACCTCCACCTCCTGGGTTCAAGTGATTCTCCTGCCTCAGCCTCCCCAAGTAGCTGGGACTACAGGTGTGCGCCACCACGTCTGGCTAATTTCTGTATTTTTAGTAGAGATGGGGTTTTGTCATGTTGGCCAGGCTGGTCTCAAACTCCTGACCTCAGGTGATCCGCCTGCCTCAGCCTCCCAAAGTGCTGGGATTACAGGCATGAGCCACCGCGCCCAGCCAAACTTTGCTCTTTCTTAAATCTCAGAGTGGGACTGCCAGTGCCAGCCTGGCATTCCCTCTTGAAATCATCACCTATTTCAGAGGAGGCTGCTACAGTGGGAAGTCAGGACAACAAGGTTGGGGCCAAACTCTGGTCTCCCAGGCATTTCACCTTAATAGGAAAAGTGCCTGAATCTGTCCTCCTCATTTGGCTCATGTGCAGAACAAGGCACAAAGCCCTGCGTCTCCCGGCTGCCTGTCCGATGCCCTTTTCCCTGACTCACCGTCAATCAGCAGTCAGACCAAGGTCCCTGACTCACCGTCAATCAGCAGTCAGACCAAGGTCCAGGCTCTTGCCTCCTGAAATGTTGCAAGGGCGGTTTCCCAGTGTGATTCACAAACAGCAAGAATGTTTCAGGCTGACTTGGAGACCACTTGGGGGTGGTATCCTCAGCCAGGAAGCTTCCTCAGGGCCTCTGAGTCCCAGAGAGCTCTATTTGTCTCTTTCTTTCTTTTCTTTCTTTTTCTTTCTTTTCTTTCTTTCTTTTTCTTTTTCTTTCTTTCTTTCTTTCTTTCTTTCTTTTCTTTCTTTCTTTCTTTCTTTCTCTTTCTCTTTCTTCCTTCCTTCTTTCTTTCTTTCTCTCTTCCTTCCTTCCTCTCCTTCTTTCCTTCCTTTCTTTCTTTTTCTTTTTTTCTTCCTTTCTTTCTCTTTCTTTGCCTTGCTTTTCTTTCTCTCTCTCTTTCTTTCCTCTTTCCCCCTCCCTCCCTCCCTTCCTTCCTTCCTTCCCTCCCTTATTTTTCTTTCTTCCTTTCTCTCTCTCTTTTTTTTTTTTTTTTTTTGAGACAGAGTCTCGCTCTGTCGCCCAGGCTGGAGTGCAGTGGCATGATCTTGGCTCACTGCAACCTCCAACTCCCAGCTCACTGCAAGCTCACACCATTCTCCTGCCTCAGCCTCCCCAGTAGCCGGGACTACAGGCGCCCGCCACCACGCCCAGCTAATTTTTTGTGTTTTTAGTAGAGACAGGGTTTCACCGTGTTAGCCAGGATGGTCTCGATCTCCTGACCTTGTGATCCGCCCACCTCAGCCTCCCAAAGTGCTGGGATTACAGGTGTGAGCCACTGCGCCCAGCCTCCTTTTTTTTTTTTTTTTTTTTTTTTTTGAGATGGAGTCTCACTCTGTCACCCAGATTGGAGTGCAGTTTCGTGTTCTTAGCCCCCTGCAACCTCCGCCTCCTGGGTTAAAGTGATTCTCTGGCCTCAGCCTCCCATGTAGCTGGGACTACAGACACATGCCACCATGCCTGGCTAATTTTTGTGTTTTTAGTAGAAACAGGGTTTTGCCATGTTGGCCAGGCTGGTCTCAAACTCCTGGCCTCAGGAGATCCACCCGCCTTGGCCTCCGAAAGTGGTAGGATTACAGGCGTGAGCCACCGCGCCCGGCCTCTTTCTTTTTCTTTCTGTTTCTCTTTCTTTCTTTTTTTTCTCTGTCTCTCTTTCTTTTTCTCTCTCTCTTTTCTTTTTTCTTTTCTTTCTCTCTTCCTTCCTTCCTTCCCTCTTTCCTTTCTTCTTTCTTTCTCTTTCTTTCTTTCTTTCTTTCCTTCCTTCCTTCCTTCCTTCCTTCCTTCCTTCCTGCTTTCTTTCTCTCTCTCTCTCTCTTTTTCTTTCTTTCTTTCTTTCCTTTTCTGAGACGGAGTTTTGCTCTCATTGCCCAGGCTGGAGTGCAATGGCGCGATCTCGGCTCACCGCAACATCTCCCTCCTGCGATTCTCCTGCCTCAGCCTCCCAAGTTGGGATTACGGGCATGTGCCACAACACCCAGCTAATTTCGTATTTTTAATAGAAACAGGGTTTCTCCATGTTGGTCAGGCTGCTCTCAAACTCCCAACCTCAGGTGATCCTCCTGCCTCTGCCTCCCAAAGTGCTGGGATTACAGGTGTGAGCCATCACGCCCAGCACTCTGTTTCTTTTTCTTTCTTTCTTTTTTGACTTTGGACGATCTTGTCACCCAGGCTGGAATGCAGTGATGCAATCATAGCTCACTGCAATCGCAAGCTCCTGGGCTCAAGTGATCCTCCTGCCTCCACCTCCCAAAGTGCCGGGATTACAGGCGTGAGCCCCATGCCCAGCCCCAATCTCTGCATTTCTGAGAGCTCATAGCATCTTTCATCCAGGGCCCTCGTACCACCTTCTTTGCTGTTATCCTCATGTGTGGTATTGTTTCTCCAACTGTGAGCAACTCCAGGTCAGGGAACACCCATGGATTTCCTTGCCTAGCGCTAACCCTGGATACCAATAACCCTCAGTAGCTGTGAGATTGAGCCATGAATTTTATGGAGTCCCTAGGCATTCTGCAGCCTGTATGGTTAGAACCACACTTGGAGGAAGGCTTCCAAGATGGTCCAAAATGAACACCTGTGACCTGGCTGTTTGCTGACCACTATCACAAGGAGTGATAAAGGAGCCTGGCAAACTCACGAGCCTGGGTTGAGTCGATTTTTAAAACCCAAACCTGGGCCAGGCGTGGTGGCTCACGCCTGTAATCTCAGCACTTTGGGAGGCCAAGGCAGGTGGATCACTTGAGGTCAAGGGTTCCAGACCAGCCTGGTCAACATGGCGAAACCCCATCTCTACTAAAAATACAAAAATTAGCTGGGCGTGGGGGTGCACACCTGTAATCCCAGCTACTTGGGTGGCTGAGCCATGAGAATCACTTGAACCTGGGAGGTGGAGGTTATAGTGAACTAGGATTGTGCCACTGCACTCCAACCTGGACAACAGAGTGAGACTCTGTCTCAACAAACAAACAAGCAAACAACCCAAGCCTGTCTCACTGGCAAAGGCTCAAGTGTCCTCTGAATTAGCTGCACCCAAAGACCATGCTCACTGCTATGGAGAAGTGAATCCCCCTAAAGGAGATCCTGTCTGTGGGCTCTGAAGGTTTAGAATCTAAACAGAACAACAGCTGGTCAATGCTGGGAGCAGAGCAGCCCCAAGAGCTGGGAGCAGGTCCCCAGTTGGAGTCAGGAAACCCTAGCTCAGGCCTGGCTCAGCCACAATATGCCGCGTGATGCTGGACCTCTGATGCCGGGACTCATGGTGACTTCACCCCTCTGAGCCTGTGCCCTTATATGCCCAGCAAGGGGCAGCCCTGCCCAGCCACCCACACAATGATGGTGTCAGGAGCAAATGACACAATACAAATAAAAGTACTTTGAAAATCTTAAAGTGCAATAATGACACAAAAGGTTATTAGAAAGAGAAGCTCTATGAGATTAAAGGGGCAGGTCTCTAACACTTGTCAAGGTAATTTACTCAGTAGTAGGAACAATGCCTTATTTGTTCGGTATTTGATAATTTACAAAGGGTTTCTAGATTCTTTATCTCCCCTGAGCCTCATAATAACCCAGTAAGGTAGGCAGGGCCGGATTGTTCTCTTTGACCACTGAACAGGGGAGGAAAAGGAGGCTTAGAGAGGAGACATGATTCTCCTGAGGTCACAGAGCTGGGACTGAACGCCCCTCCCCCCCCCCTTTTTTTTTTTTTGAGTCTCACTCTTGTCACCCAGGCTGGAGTGCAGAGGTGCGATCTCTGCTCACTGCAACCTCCACCTCCCAGGTTCAAATGATCCTCCCACCTCAGCCTCCTGAGAAACTGGGATTACAGGCACGCACCACCACGTCTGGCTAATTTTTGTATTTTTAGTAGAGACAGGGTTTCACCATGTTGGCCAGGCTGTTCTCCAACTCCTAAGCTCAAGTGATCTGCCCGCCTCGGCCTCCCCACATGCTGGGATTACAGGCGTGAGCCACCACGCCCAGCCCCCCACCCCCTTTTTGTAGTTCCCCCATGCTCCTTATGATGGGCCATTATGGTGCTACCTCTGTTTCAGCTGCTGCAACCCCATGGGGCAATTTCCCACAAGACCTGTGTGAACATATCCTACTAGGCCCTGGAACCCCAGTAAGGCCGGACCGGCAGGGAGGGAGGGAGAGAGGGGCTGATCTAAGGAGCAACAGGAAATTATCAAAAGGTTTTAAGCAGAGAAATGATATGATCAGGGTTATGTTTTTAAAAAACTACTCTCCTCCACCTCCTTCTTCCTTTCCCACTCTTTCTTCTCTTCTCCTGTTCCCCTATTCTTTCTCCTTTTCCTCTTTATTGTTCACTTATGTTATATAATTCCCTAGGAAAGAAAGCAAGCAAGACTCTGGGACCTTCTATTGCCAGAACCCGTGGGCGTTCAGCCAGCTGGAGCCCTGACTGGTTGGCTCCTTACACTGTAGGAGGCCAGTGTTTTGCCCAGAATCCGGGGACCTGCTCAGAGACTCCCCTCTCCAGGAGTAGTCCTGGGAGTGGCATGCTCCAGGATCAAAGCCAAGGACTCAGAAAAGGAGGATGAGGTGACAGGCATGTTCCTGGGGCTGCTTGCCCCTGGAAAGGCTGGCACCAGGCCCCTGGGGGCCTCTCTCACCCTTTGGGAAGGGCCTTGGCTCAAGAACTGCCTGAAGTGGCCCAGAACCTGAGACCCTGGCAGGGTGCCCTTCTCCACTGGGTGCTTGCCATTCAGAGTTATGCACTCCCTGGGCCACTAGCAAATAAGCACGTCCTGGGGTGCCTCTTCTGGGCTGTCTGCCCCCTTTCCTCCCCAGTTTCCTTTGGCTCCCAGCCCAACTTCCTTCCCATTTGTCTGTGTCCCACACAGATCACATGCCTGGCAGCTGGGCCCCAAGTCAGAGGCTTTGGGGAGGATGTTAACAGAAAAAGTGAACATATATGCTTGCATGCATGTGCATGTGTGTGGCACCTTGGGTGGGAGAAGTAGATGCTGCCTTTACAGAGAATCTTTAACTCATCAAACTTGTTCAATATTGTATCCCCAGTATTGGGGATATAATAAGTAGTCGGGACCTAACAAATATTTGTTGATGTAAATGAATGAATGAACAATGAATGAATGAAATAAGATTACAACTGAAGAGTATCTGTTGCCTGGCTATAGCAACAAGAAAATCCTTGGAGACACTGCTAACCCGTTTCTAAGGTGTGTCAGCAGGGTGGGCCTGGTGTTGACGATGGAGGAGTGTATAGGAGGTGAGCTAGGGGGCACGGGCGGCTTTTAAGGAGTTTGGAGTGAGGAAAAGGAGTCTGGAGGGGCCAGGGCAGCAGAGAGGATGGCACAGCCTGTTTGAGCCTGAAAGGAGGAACCCCAAAGAGAATGCCATTGGCCAGTAAGGCCTTCTGTCATCCTCATCCGGCATTGCTCATTCTCTGAACTTGACCTTGTTGTTTCCCCTTCCCAAATGAAAATCAGTCTCTTCTTTTGCTATCCTTGAACACACATCCTACGCCTTGCTGACCCCAGGCCTGGGGTGACCGGGGTCCTCCTTCACCCAGTTCATGGCCTGGAGACTCTTTGGATGCCCTGTCCAGCTGGCATGCCCTGCTCAGCAGCTTCCCGCCCCACAGGATTCTCAGGGCACTCCAGCTTCTGCCAGGTCTGCCCTCCCTACACGGAAGCAGAAGAAACAGATGCAGAGAAGAACAGAAGGAAGACCACGTGCCCTGAAGTTACAGAGGGAGGAGCTTCCAGTTTGGACTTTCCAGTTCCCCATCTTGAGCTAGCATGAATAGGCTTCTGCTGCTTCCAACCAGATGATGCCAGACTCACAGCTTGGACTTGATTTGATTTGAACCAATTCAAAATGTAGCCACCACCCACCTTAATATCCCTACCCTAGACCGGCCTCTCACTCCCAATTACCCTGTTCCTGTCACCATCACCAGCATTTGGAGTTACATTTTCCTCACATCCTTGTTCCCGTTCTCTGTGAGGCACCTCTTACCTTCCCATCCCCCTCCCCGACAGTTCCCACTGTCCCACTCCATACCTTCTTCAGCCCAAGCTCTCATCTCAGCACCAGCTTCCTTTCCACATCTGACTCCAGGGTCTCTCTTCTCCATCCCATTCAGCAGATCACCACCACTACATCATTTATTTTCTTTTTTATTTTTAAAAATTATAAACGACAACCAACCAACCCTACCTATGTATAAGGGTAAAAAAATAATAATAGGCCGGGCGCGGTGGCTCACCCCTGTAATCCCCGTGCTTTGGAAGGCCGAGGTATGCAGATTGCCTGAGGTCAGGAGTTCAAGACCAGTCTGGCTAACATGGTGAAACCCTGTCTCTACTAAAGTTGCAAAAATTAGCCAGGCGGGGTGGTGCATGCCTGTAATCCCAGCTACTCGGAAGGCTGAAGCAGGAGAATCGCTTGAACCTGGCAGGCGGAGGTTGCAGTGAGCCAAGATCGTGCCATTGCACTCCAGCCTGGGCAACAAGAGCACAACTCTGTCTCAAAAAAATATAAATGGCTGGGCGCGGTGGCTCGCGCCTGTAATCCCAGCGCTTTGGGAGGCCGAGGTGGGTGGATCACGAGGTCAAGAGATTGAGACTATCCTGGCCAACATGGTGAAACCCCGTCTCTATTACAGATACAAAAATTAGCCGGGCGTGGTGGCGGGTGCCTGTAGTCCCAGCTATTCAGGAGGCTGAAGCAGGAGAATCACTTGAACCCAGGAGGTGGAGGTTGCACTGAGCTGAGATTGCGCCACTGCACTCCAGCCTGGCGACAGAGTGAGACTCCGTCTCAATAAATAAGTAAATTAATTAATTTAATTAAATTAATAATAATAATAACAATAATAATAATAATAATAATATGAATGGTTGGGCGCAGTGGCTCATGCCTGTAATCCCAGGACTTTGGGAGGCTGAGGTGGACTAGCCTGGGCAACATGGCGAAACCTCATCTCTACCAAAAAATATATACATATACAAAAGTTAACTGGGTGTGGTTACAGCTGTAGTCCCATCTACTCAGGAGACTGAGGTGGGAGGATTGCTTGAGCCAGGGATATGGAGGTTCCAGTGAGCCAGGATCACATCATTGCGCTCCAGCCTGCGTGACAGAATGAAACTCTGTCTCAAAAAAAAAAAAAATGATGAATTACATCATGTATGTATTCAGAAGTACATACAAAACATATCAGCATAATTTAGAATGAATGTATGTGGGGAGCTAAAACCATCCCCCATGTTAAGAAACAGAACACAAGGCTGGGCGCAGTGGCTCACTCCTGTAATCCCAGCAGTTTGGGAGGCCAAGGCAGGTGGATCACAAGGTCAGGAGTTCAAGACCAGCCTGAGCAACATGGTGAACCCCCGTCTCTACTAAAAAAATACAAAAAATTAGCTGGGCGTGGTGGCACGTGCCTGTAGTCCCAGCTATTCAGGAGTCTGAGGCAGAAGAATCACTTGAACCTGGGAGGCAGTGAGTGACAGAGCAAGACTACGTCTCAAAAAAAAAGGGCTGGGCATGGTGGCTCACGCCTGTAATCCCAGAACTTTAGGAGGCTAAGGCGGGTGGATCATGAAGCCAGGAATTCGAGACCAGCCTCGCCAATATGGTGAAACCCCATCTCTACTAAAAGCACAAAAATCAGCCAAGCGTAGTAGCACGCGCCTGCAGTCCCAGCTACTTAGGAGACTGAGGCAGAAGAATCACTTGAACCCAGGAGGCAGAGGTTGCAATGAGCCGAGATCGTGCCACTGCACTCCAGCCTGGGTGACAGAGTGAGACTCTGTCTCAAAAACAAAAAAAAAGAAAGAAAAAAGAAACAGAAGTACTCATTATCTTCTTTAAATGTCTCATTTAAATTGTTCAAGCATGGCCAGGCGTGGTGACTCACACCTGTAATCCCAGCACTTTGGGAGGCCAAGGCAGGCAGGTCCCTTAAGCTCAGGAGTCTGAGACTTGCCTGGGCAACATGGCGAAACCCCATCTCTAAAAAAAAAAGAAAAAAAAAAAACCCACGAAGTGTTCAAGCACCTTTGGTGACTCCCTGTTTCCTATTCTAGCTTCCCTAGCCTGTTTTTCAGTCAGGCCCCATCACACTGGCCTTGGCGTTCTCCTCACTGCCTCTTCCACCCCACCTTCACTCTGGCCATTACACTTCATCTAAGAGCACAGGATCAGAAACATAAAATCTGTCTTCCAGGCCCCTCTTTGTCATTTATTAGCTGTCTGAATTCAAATAGATTGTTTAAGCTTTCTGAATTAGTCAGTACTCTTTTGGTAGCAAGTAACAGAAACCAAATTCAAACCGGCTGACGTAAATGAGGAGACGTAATGGCTTATCTCAGACAAATTTTAGGATAACTCAAGCTTCAGGCACAGCTGGATCTAAGGACCCGAACCATGTCACCAGGAAATGGTCTCTTGGCTGTTTTCCTCTGGGTTGGTTTTATTATCATCCCCCATTGTTTCAGCAAAGGTTCTTTTTTTTTTGGAGATGGAATCTTGCTCTGTCGCTTTGTTGCCCAGGTTGGAGTGCAGTGGCACGATCTCGGCTCACTGCAAGCTCTGCCTCCCGGGTTCATGCCATTCTCCTGCCTCAGCCTCCTGAGTAGCTGGGACTACAGGTGCCCGCCACCACGCCCAGCTAATTTTTTGTATTTTTAGTAGAGACAGGGTTTCATCGTATTAGCCAGGATGGTCTCAATCTCCCGATCCCCTGATCTGCCTGCCTCGGCCTCCCAAAGTGCTGGAATTACAGGCGTGAGCCATCGCACCCGGCCAGGTTCTTTTTTTGTTTTTTTGTTTTTTTTTGAGATAGAGTTTCATTCCTGTCTCCCAGGCTGGAGTACAATGGCGTGATCTCAGCTCACTGCAACCTCTGCCCCCCAGGTTCAAGCAATTCTCCTGCCTCAGCCTCCCAAGTAGCTGAGACTACAGGCGCCTGGACCACCATGCCTGGCTAATTTTTGTATTTTTAGTAGAGACGGGGGTTCACCATGTTAGCCAGGCTGGTCTCGAACTCCTGACCTCAGGTGATCCGCCCGCCTCGGCCTCCCAAAGTGCTGGGATTACAGCTGTGAGCCACCATGCCCAGCCTCAGCAAAGGTTCTGACTGTGAGTCTCATTGGCCTACTTGAGTCACATACCCATTTCTGGAGCCCTGGCCAGTGGTAGGCCAGGCCTGGTTATGCCTACCCTGGAGTTTGGATGGAGTTAGACCCTGGTTGGTGTGAGAGTGAAGAGACAGGCTTTTCCAAGGAAAACCAGGGTTCTAATTGCAGAAAAAGGGAAAAGGGATGTTGAATAAACAACATCAACAGATACTCTCAGTTCTCACTTTCCTTGTGAGTGGGAATCTCTCTTCTGCCAAATGTTCAAGCCTGCTGAGAAGATAAAAAAAAAAAATTAGAGATATGAAGTTTCATTGAAAACTTTAAAGTTCAACAAAAATGGAAGTGATTTTGAAGAAGATAATCTCTTTGACTTGCCTCCAACTGTTTACCTGTCAGATGCACTTTGTCTAGCCAAGCCTACCCTTCCTTCAGCCCCCAGCCCAGTAGGAATTGGACTTTTTCCAGCACCTAGAGCCTCTTGGGTACCTGGAGACCTTCTCAGCATTTAGATGGGCCACATAGTTTAGCATTTAATTAGATATGGACTGGGCCTGGTGGCTCACGCCTATAATCCCAGCACTTTGGGAAGGTGAGGCAGGTGGATCACTTGAGGTCAGGAGCTCAAGACCAGCCTGGCCAACATGGTAAAACCCCATCTCTACTAAAAATACAAAAATTAGCTGGGCGTGGTGGTGCGCGCCTGTAATCCCAGCTACTCAAAAGGCTGAGGCAGGACAGTAGCTTGAACTCGGGAGGCAAAGATTGCAGTGAGCCGAGATTGTGCCACTGCACACCAGCCTGGGTGACAGAGTAAGATCCCATCTCAATAATAATAATAATTAGATATGGTCTTTCATTGTCTAGGTTGTTTTTTAGGAATATTACAGTTGAGCCGGGCATGGTGGCTCACACTTGTAATCCCAGTACTTTGGGAGGCCAAGGCAGGAAGATCATTTGAGCCTAGGAGTTCAGGAGCAGCCTGGACAGCACAGTGAGACCTCATCTCCATTTGTGTGTGTGTGGGTGTGTGTGTGTGTGTGTGTGTGTGTGTGTGTGACAGAGTCTTGCTCTGTCGCCCAGGCTGGAGTGCAGAGGTGCAATCTCAGCTCACTGCAACCTCCACCTACCTGGTTCAAGCAATTCTCCTGCCTCAGCCTCCTGAATAGCTGGGATTACAGGCGCACACTACCATGTCCAGCAAATTTTTTTGCATTTTTAGTAGAGACAGGGTTTCGCCATGTTGGCCAGATTGGTCTCGAACTCCTGACCTCAGGCAATCAGCCCACCTGGGCCTCCCAAAGTGCTGGGATTACAGGTGTGAGCCACTGCGCCCAGCCCTCTATTTTTTTTTTTTTTTAAGAATATTACAGTTTATTTGACAATTCTCTCATGGATCATCAACACTTACAGATGAAATGGAAACAATGTTGCGTCTCAAGATAGCTCCTCCTCTCCTCCTGCCATGTTTAACACTCTCACTGTTCCCAGCTGGTGTCTGCTCAGGGAGTTCATGCTAATTTTAATTTTCTCTAGTTATTAGCTTATTTGAGAGAAGAACTTGTGCCTATTGTTCTCTACTCCTTATAAGGGCCTAACCCACTGTTGAACACATTTTAAGTCTGCAGTACATCTTTGTTGGTTGTTTTAAAAATGATCTTCTGAGCTGGGTGCAGTGTGCATACCTACAGTCCCAGCTACTCAGGAGGCCAAGGTGAGAGGATTGCTTGAGCCCAGGGGTTTTAGACCAGCAGGGCAACATAGCAAGACCCTGTCTCTAAAACAAAGTAACCAAAAGTAATCTTCTGGCTGGGCATGGTGGCTCATGCTTGTAATCCCAGCACTTTAAGAGGCCGAGGTGTGTGGATCACCTAAGGTCAGGAGTTTGAGACCAGTCTGGCCAATATGGCAAAACCTCATCTCCAATAAAAATACAAAACTTAGCAGGGAATGGTGGCGCATGCCTGTAATCCCAGCTACTCAGGAGGCTGAGACAAGAGAATCACTTGAATCCGGGAGGCGGAGGTTTGCAGCGAGCTGAGATCGTGCCACTGCACTCCAGCCTGGGTGACAAAGTGAGACTCAGTCTCAAAAAAAAAACCAACAAAAAACCAAAACAAACAAACAAACAAACAAACAAAAAGACACCACATACAGGAATAAAATGTACTGAGGAGACAAAAGAGTGTCAACCCAAGGATCTCTTTCAGAGGGGTTCCCTTAACTCTGGCAGGCCATGAGGATGATGCCTGGGAGCCCCAGGATTCTCCTGTTACTTTCTTGTGTCCTCAGAAACCACCCTGGTGACTCAGTAACACAAACCTAGGGTGTTGAGTGGGTGGGGCACCGCTTCCCACCCCAGTTTATCTGGTTTTCCCAGGCAGAATAGTACACTGAAGCTGTAGGCAAAGAGGAAGCCCAAGATAGGGGAAGGCCAGGGTGTTGGTTCCTCAGTTTGTTGAAATCAGAGTCATGAAGCAAGACAAGCCAGGGCTTGCTCAGCATTTCTCCTTCCTGGCATGGGTTCACCTCAGCCCCAATTCAGTGGCAGCTCTGTTGGTTCAGAGGGGTGAGGTATCCAAGAGGAGGAAGCTTGTACAATCCTGCTAGCAGGGGAGGGCTGATGGTAGGGTGGAGTTTCAAAGGAAGCCTCTGACATCTGACAAAGGCTGAGTCAGTTATATTGCCCCATCTCTGAATCTGGCTTCTCCTGCTCCTCTACCCTACCCATCCTGCCTTCCAGACACACCAAAGTTCTTTTTATCCCTGACCATGACAGGCATGGCTGCTGTGTGCAGCTTCATAGGTTGTGCACTGCACAGTTCCAGGAGGTGCTATTCCCATAGACAAAGGAGTGAATAACAACTCCAAGAATCATGCACAATTGTACCAGGCAGCCCCGAGCCAAGCCCTTTTATGACTTCCTTCCTTTCCACATATTGCTTCCCCTGCCACAACTGCCCTTGTTTGCCTTTCCTCCCCCCATTTCTTTATATGGTGCAACATCTAACACTTAGTTCTCAAATTCTGCCCAAATATAATCCTGGTGAACACAAACATAACAGAATGCATATGGAAGACCTGACATACAGGAGTCTCGAACTGGCACATTGCCAGCTCATTAAGCTTGGTAGTTTTATTATGCCTGTGGGGTGTTCTAAAAGGTAATGTAAGTAAAGTCCATTAGAACAGCTAAGATGAAAAATACACAATACTAAGTGTTGGTGAAGATGTGGAGCAACTGGAACTCTCATACATTGCTAGTGGGAGTGTAAACTGGATAGCTACTTTGGGAAACTAGCGGTATCTACTAAAGTAGAAGAGATACCTAGTCATGATCTAGCAGTTCCTAGAAATACATACACATGTACTCCTAGAAATATGCATACATACATAGGCTTCAAAAAAAGTGCAAAAATGTTCACAGCAGCACTATTTATAATAGCCCCAAACTAGAAACAACTCAAATACCCATCAACCTTAGAATAGATGAATAATATGGTATATTAATAAAATGGGGATGGGCACAGTGGCTCATGCTTGTAATCCCAGCACTTTGGGAGGCCAAGGTGGGTGGATCACCTGAGGTCAGGAGTTCGAGACCAGCCTGACCAACATGGTGAAACCCCATCTCTACTAAAAATACAAAATTAGCCGGGTGTGGTGGCACATGCCTGTAATCACAGCTACTTGGGAGGCTGAGGCAGGAGAATTGCTTGAACCCGGGAGGTGGAGGTTGCAGTGAGCTGAGATTGTGCCATTGCCCTCCAGCCTGGGCAATAAGAGCACAACTCCGTCTCAAGAAAATACAAATGGCTGGGCACGGTGGCTCACGCCTGTAATCCCAGCACTTTGGGAGGCCAAGGCAGGCAGATCATGAGGTCAGGAGATCGAGACCATCCTGGCTAACACGGTGAAACCCCATCTCCATTAAAAATACAAAAAATTAGCCGAACGTGGTAGGGGCACCTGTAGTCCCACCTTCTCAGGAGGCTGAGGCAGGCGAATGGCGTGAACTGGGAGGCGGAGCTTGCAGTGAGCCGAGAACTCGCAAATGCACTCCAGCCTGGGTGACAGAGCAAGACTCCGTCTCAAAATAAATAAATAAATAAAAATAAAATAAAATAAAATAAAATGAGATGTAGGCCGGGTGAGGTGGCTCATGCCTGTAATCCCAGCACTTTGGGAGGCCTAGCTGGGTGGATCACCTGAGGTCGGGAGTTCGAGATCAGCCTGACCAACATGGAGAAACCCCATCTCTACAAAAAATACAAAATTAGCTGGCTGTGGTGGTGCATGCCTATAATCCCAGCTACTTGGGAGGCTGAGGCAGGAGAATCGCTTGAACCCGGGAGGCGGAGGTTGCAGTGAGCCAAGATTGCACCATTGTACTCCATCCAGCCTGAGCAACAAGAGTGAAACTCCATCTCGAAAAATAAATAAAATAAAATAAAATGGGATGTTACATAGCAGTGAAAGGAATTATTTCTTCACACAACACACAGAAAAGGTCAGACACAAAAGAATACATACTGCAAGTTCAAAAACAGGCACTATGGTGTTAAAAATTAGAAAAGTGGCTCCCCCGTGAGGATGGGTAGTGATTGGAAAGGAGCATGGCGTTTCTGATGTGCTGGTAATATTCTATTTATTAATGTGAGAGGTGGTTGCACAGGTGTGTTTATTTTGTGAAAGTTTATTGAGCTGTATACACTTAGGATTTGTGTG
The DNA here is from genome assembly GCF_000001405.40 of Homo sapiens. Classification (NCBI taxonomy): domain Eukaryota; kingdom Metazoa; phylum Chordata; class Mammalia; order Primates; family Hominidae; genus Homo; species Homo sapiens. The sequence continues at coordinate 26,011,288 of NC_000002.12, forward strand.
CTTTTGTGTATGTGTGTGATGCTTCAATAAAAACAATTACTTAACAGAAGAAGACAATGTCTACTTTTTGCCATGATGAAGGAATGGGGTCTAGATTTATCCTCTCCTTAATCAAGCAAAAAGTTGAATGAAATATATGAAACAGTGGTTTTAAGACATTGGTCATTGGTCAACAGGGAACTCAGGACAGTGATCCTTAAGAGAAGGGAAACCAAGGAGGTGAGCAGAGCAGATGTCCCAGCTGGAGAGAGTGTCCAAGCTATAGCACAGAGAACGTGGGCTCCTGGAGACCTGCAGAGGAGTCCCCTGACTTTTTTATTTTTGAGACAGGGTCTCACTTTGTCACCGAGGCTGGAGTGCAGTGGTGCGAACATGGCTCACTGCAGCCTCAACCTCCTGAGTAGCTGGGACTATAGGTGCAAGCCACCACACCTGGCTACTTTTTGTATGTTTTGTAGAGACAGGATTTCATCATGTTGCCCAGGTTGGTCTCAAACTCCTGAGCTCAGGTTATCTGCCTGCCTCAGCCTCCCAGAGGGCTGGGATTACAGGCGTGAGTTATTGCGCCTGGCTTCCCCTGATTCTTTGGGTTCCAATCAGTCACGTGTGTGAAGAAACTACTGACACACTGGGGAAAGGAACCCTGGAGAGGAGGAGGAAATGGATCCGTCAGCAGAGCTTACACAGGCTGGGGAGAGCTGGTGTTCCCATTAACTAGAGTAGAAAGACCTTCCAACCCACTGGGCATAGAGTGACACACACTGAGGCTGTGAGGCTAAACCTGCAGCAGTGAGAGAAGTAGTGGGTCTTAAGTCTAAACACGGCCTCTCAGGGGCCAGGTCAGACTAGAGGGAAATTTGATCTGCTAAATCCTCTGAGATTGAGCTAAAGCTTCTTAAGTCTTCCTGGTATGCATGAGACAGGGAGGGTCTTAGAACCTCGGGTACAGCTGAGCCTGTGTGCAGGAATTCAGTAACCCCAGGTGTGGACTATCAGTTTGAAGTTATCTATTGATATGTTTGTTTTTCTCTTATGCGTCATCCCCTCATCAGCGCGTGCACTCTGTGAGGATAGAGATCTTATCTGACTGTGTCACAAGGGCTCCGACCAATGCCTGGCACGTAAATGGCACTCAATAAATATTTGTTGAACTGATGTTGAATGAATAAACTCGCTCTAAACCAAACCCACGAGGGAGAAACCAGATGCAGCATTATTCATTCATTCTGTGAAATGTAATTGACAATAGGCCCGAAGAAACCCCTGTCAGCACATTCCTTGCTTTGTGGAAGGCACACTTCAGAAGCTCAAAGTATATCCAAGAGTCACTTTGTAAATACAGAGTAGGGCTAAGGGGACTTGAAAGATCTTAAGAGCCTGTGTCACTGAGCTATGGCACCCCGATGAGTCATGCTTTCCCACACAGGGACAGGCATCCCTTGCCAAACAGGATCCTGCCTTGCCCAGCACTGGCCTCTCTTCCCTGTCACCGTGGGAGAAACACTGACAGTCTGTCCTCTCCCACTTCTCTTCTCGGTACTCCTTATCAATCATAATGCTTCGGTCCTTTCTACTTGACCTCACATAACAGTGTCTTAGATTACACAGTGTCCCTTACTCGTTACATTTTCCATGTGAATTTGGCCACAATTTCATACATCCTGCAAAAGACAAAATAACCTAGACATGGATCAAGACCTCTCACTACCTAAGTTGCAAAGTCCCTCAGTCACTGTCTCTCGATTTCCCTATCTTTAGAAAATGAAATAATGTACCTTTTCCATCTAGCCTACAGGGCTGTTAAGCAAAAACAAACAAACAAACAAAAAACTGAAGAACATGAATATGAGTGGCTCAGAAGTTGTGATTTAGGCCAGGCACGGTGGCTCACACCTGTAATCCCAATACTTTGGGAGGCCGAGGCGGGCGAATCACGAGGTCAGGAGTTCGAGACCAGCCTGGCCAACATGGCGAAACCCCATCTCTACTAAAAATACACAAAATTAGCTGGGCGTGGTGGCAGGTGCCTATAGTCCCAGCTACTCGGGAGGCTGACGCAGGGGAATCACTTGAACCCGAGAGGCAGAGGTTGCAGTGAGCTGAGATCGTACCACTGCACTCCAGCCCAGGTGACAGTGGGAGCGAGACTCTGTCTCAAAAAAAAAAAAAAAAAAAGTTGTGATTTAACCTTTCTAATTAAAGTTCTATACTAGATTTGCCACTAATGAACTACATGACATGAGATCATTTTGTCAGATGCTTAGCCCAGCATCTTATTCTTAACAAGCCTCCAGGAAATATTTATTATTGACATGGGCTCTATTGCCATGAACTGAGATACCTCCCACTTTCCCAAGGAGCATGCTTGAGGAAAAATAGTTGCTTTTTAGGTAACTATTGTGCTTTTGTTTTGTTGAATGCAAATGATATGAGGTGATAAACTTGGGACCATAACTGAATGGTCTGGAAGAAAAGAGGGAATTCAGAAGTTGTATACGGAAAGAGATGAAGGGAGGAAAGTTGGCAATATGGTAGTAAGGGAGAAAACTTTTGGAGGGAGAACAGGTTTAGCTAGTGGAGTGGAGGGATCTAATTAAGCTTTGCTTTATGGTGTGTGATGTAATCCTCTTCTGTCTTCCCATGAAGCCTTCAGTAAAATCTCCTTAGTCATAGGTATTTTTGAATTTGGATGTATTGGAGGGGATGCAAACAAAGTTCTCAGTTTGGACTTGAGTTGTATAAGGAGTGAGAGCAAAGACCAATCATCTCCTGGTTATATTATCAATTTTAAAATGAGGAGGTGAGGCCGGGCCTGGTGGCATATGCCTGTAATCTCAGCACTTTGGGAGGCCAAGGCAGGCAGATCACTTGAGGTCAGGAGTTCAAGACCAGCCTGGCCAATATGGTGAAACCCCGTCTCTACTAAAAATACAAAAATTATCTGGGTGTGGTGGCAGTTGCCTGTAATCCCAAATGCTCAGGAGCCTGAGGCAGGAGAATTACTTGAACCTGGGAGGTGGAGGTTGCAGTGAGCTGAGATTGTACCATTGCACTCCAGCCTAGGCATTGCAGTGAGACTATGTCTCAAAAAAAAAAAAAAAAAAAAATATATATATATATATACATAAACACATATATATATACACACACATATATACATAAATATATATATATATATATAGAGAGAGAGAGAGAGAGAGAGAGAGAGAGAGACAGAGACAGAGACAGAGAGAGAGAGACAGAGAGAGAGAGACAAGGTTTCCACCCAGGCTGCAGTGCAGTGGCACAGTCTTGGCACACTGCAACCTCTGCCTCCTGGTCTCAGGTAATCCTCCCACTTCAGCCTCCCAAATAGCTGGGACCACAGGCATGCACCACCATACCCAGCTGATTTTTTTGTATTATTAATTTTGTGGAGATAAAGCTCATCACATTGCCCAGGCTGGTCTCAAACTCCTGGCCTGACATGATCTGCCCGCCTCGGCCTCCTAAAGTGCTGGGATTACAGGTGTGTGCCACTGCTCCCGGCCCACACATTGCAATTGGTTGAAAGTCTCTTTTATCTACAAATCACCCCTCTGACACTTTTTTTTTCCTCACAATTTATTTGTTAAAGAACCAAAGTTATTTATAATAGTGATAAATTGATGAATTATTAAAGTTAGGCTGGGTGTGGTGGTACATACCTGTAATCCCAGTACTTTGGGAGGCTGAGGCAGGAGGATCATTTGAACTCAGGAGTTCAAAAACAGCCTGGGCAATATGGCAAAACCCTGTCTCTACAAAAAATACAAAAATTAGCAGGGTGTGGTGGTGTGCTCCTTTAGTCCCAGCTACTTGAGGGGCTGAGGTGGGAGGATTGCTTGAGCCCAGGAGGTTGAGGCTACAGAGAGCCGAGACTGCGCCACTGTACTCCAGCCTGGGCAACAGAGTGAGACCCTGCCTCAAAAACATAAAAAAATTATTTTTAAGGAATTATTAAAGTTAGATATTATTAAGTCAGCTATATCAGTACAAAATGTAGAGACTTATCTGCAGTTTGTGAAAAAAGGCCTAGGATTTTTAGCTGGCCACAAACCTATTAGAGCAAACATCATGACACAGTTGCCAAAATCCTAATCTACACTTAGGTTACATTAACACCAGTACATGTGTACAATGAAAAATGTGGTCGTCTTTTCTACTACACCAGGTCAAACCATGCCTGGCATATCATGCCTGATTGTGGCTCCCACACTTTAAGAGAGATTGAAAAACTGGAGTGATTAGACAAAGTCCTGACGCTGGTAAGAGAGCTATAACATCCCTCCCCTGGCAGGGGAGCCTGGAGGAAAGAAGGGGAAGGGGTAGAGCTGGCTGTTTGCCTGCAGGAGACTCAAGACAGTGGGTCCTTAGCAATGAGAATACACAAAAGGCAGTGATGGGAGAAGGGGCCCTGGAAAACCCACCTTCAGGAGTTTTAAGGCTAAAGAAAAGGAGGAAGAAGGGAATGAGTTAGTGAGAGAGTACACAGAAATTATCAGATCCAACTGTGTGGTAGTAGCCAGTGGGACAGACACAAATTAAGAGTGCATGGAATTATGAAGGGCTGGGCATGGTGGCTCACGCCTGTAATCCCAGCATTTTAGGAGGCCAAAGCGGGCAGATCACTTGAGGTCAGGAGTTTGAGACCAGCCTGGCCAACATGGTGAAACCACGTCTCTAATAAAAATACAAAAGTCAGCCGGGCATGGTGGCGGGTACCTGTAATCCCAACTACTTGGGAGACTGAGGCAGGAGAATCGCTTGAACCCGTGAGGCGGAGTTTGCAGTGAGCCGAAATCATGCCATTAAGCTACAGCCTAGGATACAGGGTGAGACTTCATCTCAAAAAAAAAAAAAGTGCATGGAATTATGAAGTCAGGACTGTGGTGTGGTCTGGGCTGGCAGACGACCAGAAAACAACTGGCCCATGTAGGTATAAATACAATTTATTGGAGACCATTGGTTTGGACTGAGCTCCTGCACTAGGTCCAACAGACCAAACCAAAATGAAGTTACTCATGCTGAAGTTTCATGTCACCAAGCTGAAATTAAGTTTATCTGACCTTCTAAGAAATCAGGAGAATGAGAGATAATAGCCAAATTTCCAAAAAGGCCAGTTTTAGCCAGCGTGATAAGGAAGTCCCCTCTGCTTTAACCTTTATGAGAAAAGTAACTTTGAAACGACGAATCCACTTTTCGTTTTGTTTCTGCTTTCTGTCTCTAAAACCAACCTCCTCTGCTCGGCTCATGGGAACATTCACTCTGCCTTGTAGAATGAGATATTGCCCAATTCTGGAATTTCAAATGAAAGCCAGTTAAAATGTTTAAACTAAATTTGTTGGAATTTTGTCTTTTGACGTGGGAATCAGTGGGAAGGTATTGGGACTCTGGTGTGAATGCCCAGAATCAAGAGTGGAGAGCTGGGCAGAGCTTGGTCTCAGGCCTAAAAGCTTTGATATCAGTACAGTTTGAATAAGAGCTGGTCCCAAGGAACAAGGCAAAGTGAAAGACACTGATTTTTTTTTTTTTTTTTTTTTTAGATAGAGTCTTGCTCTGTCGCCAGGCAGGGTTGCAGTGGCGCAATCTCAGCTCACTGCAACCTCCGACTCCCGGGTTCAAGCAATTCTCCTGCCTCAGCCTCCTGAGTTGCTGGGACTACAGGCACATGCCACCATGCCCAGCTAATTTTTTAAATTTTAATAGAGATGGCATTTCACCATGCTGGCCAGGATGGTCTCGATCTCTTGACCTTGTGATCTGCCTGCCTTGGCCTCCCAAAGTGCTGGGATTACAGGCAGGAGCCACTGCACCCAGCCTTTTTTTAAAACAAGGTCTTACTCTGTCGCCTGGGCTGGAATGCAGTGGTATGATCTCAGCTCACTGCAACCTCTGACTCCTGGGCTCAAGCAATCCTCCCACCTCAGCCTCCTGAGTAGCTGAGACTACATGCATGCACCACTGCACCTGCCATTTTTTCCGGATTTATAGAGAGAGGGTTTCGCCATGTTACCCAAGCTGGTCTCAAACTCCTGGGCTCAAGCCATCCTCCGGCCTCAGCATCCCAAAGTACTGGGATTATAGGCATGCACCACTGCACCAGGCAAGGACACAGATTTTTATTGTTCACCCACAAAGTGCTTCACATGCACTACTTTGTCTGACCCTCACGACAACCTGCAAGGTAGGTATTGTATTCCTACTGTACGGATGAGAAAAACTGAGACTCACAAAGGTTAGTTACTAGCTCAAGATCATGTATGCCTCAGTGGCAGGGCCAGGATTCAGAGCAGGGTGGCCTGGAGGTCTGAGGTTGGAAGCAGGTGTCACCTTAATGACTTAGGAATGAGGTCAGTGTCTGTGTCCTCCAATTATGGTGCCAGGCTCAGTCTCTACGAATGCCTGGAGAATATGTCAGCACTTACTGTAGCTTCATGTTTAGGCCAAGAAAAGGCTGAGATGAGATGATCCATGAGAGTTTTTCACAGAAACACAGACCAAACACAGAAGCAAAATCTTGGTCTTCATATTGCCCCAGACTTGTTCTCTTCTGGGACTGAACCTAGTGTTAGAATCCTGCTCTGCAGGAATAGGGGGGTGTCTTTACATTTCATTCTGGTTATTTGCCTAAAGCAAATCCCAGAGATACCCAGAGAGGGAAGACTTTCCTCTGCAGATGGTGGAAGATGCTGGCGCCCAGGCCATCCTATGTCATCTGTATCCAGACACAGATTCCAGATCCCTGTTCATGCCTCTGAGGACATGGAGCGGGCCTTTTAGCTCTCTTCAGAGCTAGAGTTTCAGGCATATGGTTGCTGCCCTGGATGACAAGGGTAGCACATGGGTGGGAACTCCAGATGCATGTAAGGGAGCAAGAAGCTGCCCACTGAGGAGAATGCTGGGATAGTGCAGGGCTGGGCTGGCCCAACTAGTTCAGCTCAGCCAGGAAAGGGCAGGTCAGATCTGGCTCAGCAGGGGAGGCTGTGTCGGGGAGTGGTGCTGACTCAGGGCCTGGTGAGTCAGGTGACAGCCAAGGACAGCTGTTGCCTGGGTGTTTTTAGAAAACTTTGGCTGCCAACCACTCTCTCATGGGTGCTTCTGCACCTACTCAGAAGCAGGCAGAAAAAAGGAGGGCATCTTCTGTATAAGAAGCTCTGGGTGAGGGGTATTAATATCTGGCTCTACTTATGTTGATCCTTCCCATGAAGTACCTAGAAAACGGAGCAGAAATTAATTGAGAGGCTTCCAAATCCCTTCTGAATTCTCTGAAAATCACTTATCTTTTCTGCTTAGCTCTTTTTAGGCACCTTGCCAGGTATCCAGCATAGAGGTTAAGAGAGCAGGCTCTGAAGTTAGGAGGGCCTGGGATCAAAACCTAATTTCATCATTTATAGTTGTATGACTTAGATCAGACTAAAAACAACTTTTAATTATGGAAAGCTTCAAATATATATGAATGACACACATTAGTATGATGAACCTCCATATACTCATTATCCAGCTTGAATAATCATTAACCCACTGTAACTTTATTTCATCTATACTCTACTTATCCCCTTTGCTCCCACTTATTTTGAAGGAAATACCAGGCATCATCACATTCCATCTCTTTTTTTCTTTTTTTTTTGAGACGGAGTCTTGCTCTGTTGCCCAGGCTGGAGTGCAGTGGTGCAATCTCAGCTCACTGCAGCCTCCTCCTCTTGGGTTCAATGATTCTCCTGCCTCAGCCTCCTGAGTAGCTGAGATTACAGGTGCCCGCCACCATGCCTGGCTAATTTTTGTATTTTTAGTAGAGATGGCGTTTCACCATATTGGCCAGGCTGGTCTCGAACTCCTGATGTCAGGTGATCCACTCGCCTCAGCTTCCCAAAGTGCTGGGATTACAGGCATGAGCCACTGCACCCCACCTTCCATGTCTTTTCACATCTTTTTCTTTTCTTTTCTTTTTTTTTTTTTTGAGATAGAGTCTTGCTCTGCTGCCCAGGCTGGAGTGTGGTGGTGCAATCTCGGTTCACTGCAACCTCCGCCTCCCAGGCTCAAGCAATCCTCCCACCTCAGCCTCCCTACCAGCTGGGACTACAGGTGCATACCACCTTGCCCTGCTAATTTTTGTATTTTTTGTAGAGACGGGGTTTCACCATGTTGCCCAGTCTGGTCTTGAACCCTGGGCCTCAAGCAATGTGCCAGATTTGGTCTTCCAAAGTGCTGGGATTACAGGTGTGAGACACCATGCCCGGCCTCTTTTAACCTATTTAAACACTTGTTTCTTCATCTGAAAATGGGGATGATCATAGTTCCTACATCAATGTATTATTGTGAAGTCATGCCTCTAAAGGGCCAGAACAATGCAGGAACTCCATAAATGAAAACTCATGTTGTTAGATAAAATATAAAAATACCCCAGGCATGGTGGCTCACGCCTCTAATTCCAGAACTTTGGGAGGCTGAGGCAGGAGGACTGCTTGAGGCCAGGAGTTCAAGACCAGCCTGGGAAACATAGTGAGACCCCATCTCCACTTAAAAAAAAAAAAAATTAGCTGGGTGTAGTGACTCACACCTGTAATCTCAGCTACTTGGGAGGCTGAGGCAGGATGATCACTTGAGCACAGGAGTTTGAGGCCACAGTTAGTTATGATTGAGCTATTGTATTCCAGCCTGGGTGACAGAGTGAGACCCGCCTAAAAAGAAATTAGCTGGGTGTGATGGCACACACCTGTAATCCCAGCTACACGGGAGGCTGAGGCAGGAGAATCAGCTTGAACCCAGGAGGCAGAGGTTGCAGTGGGCCAAGATGGTGCCACTGCACTCCAGCCTGGACAGAGCAAGACTGAGTCTCAAAACAAGCAAACAAACAAACAAGCAAACAAACAAAAAAGGGAGCCTCTGCAACTTTCCTATCTCTTTGCCTGTGTCCCTCTTTCCTCCTGGTGACCCTCCCTTCCAGCATCTGAGGACTCTGCCCTGCCAGCACGAGGCCCACTGCTGACATCATGACAGGGTTAGGATGACTGCCCAACCTGTCTAGGCCTCAGGATGGGCTGGGAGCACAGGTCACCTGAACCTGGGGTAGAGGGGGCTAGAAAGAGGCAGTGGAGACCCAGGAAAGAGGAACCGAGGCTGCAGCAGCCTTGGAGGGCAGGCAGGAGCCAAGTTTCAGCAGAGGTGCAGCACATTCAAGTGGCAAGGTCAGCAGAAGGTGGGAAAGAGGAAGTGGACGTGCACAAATGTCAGGTAGAGCTGGAGTCATCCTGGGAATTTTACCAGAAACAAGTGTATCAGTCACGGGTTTTGGTTGCAACAGAAACTGATATTTGGCATTTAGAAGCAGAACATACATTTACTGAAAGGCTATTGGGAAGCTCTCAGAATTACTGGGAAGGCTAGAGAAACAGGCTCAGGGATCTGGGGAAAGCAACAGGCCACAGATTCAGTCTGTTAGGCCAAGCAGTGAGTCCATCACTGCCCCTGCCGGACCCCAAAGAGATTCTGTAGCCTATAGCACCATGGTGGCCAGCACTGGACTTGGGATCCCATCCAGCTCTGGGGTCCAGAGGTGGCCCAGAAACCAAGTGCTACTGCTCTCAGTCGCCCTCACTGTGCCTGCTTCTTTGTGTAGCTGTACACCTGTAATCCCAGCTACTCAGGAGGCTGAGGCAGAAGAATGACTCGAACCCGGGAGGTGGAGGTTGCAGTGAGCTGAGATTGTGCCACTGCCCTCCAGCCTGGGCGACTGGGTAAGACTCCATCTCAAAAAAAGAAAAAAAAAAAAAAGAAAGAAAGAAATAGCATCCCTATTTGGCCTTCAAGGACACAGGGCAGGTTTGCCCTGTGGACACCAGTGCCCTGAGGGAGGGCAAAAGGTAGTGGAACCCTGAATGCATAAGCTACATGGGCAAAAGTCTGGCTTCCTCTTGGGAGTATTTTTTCTTTTATTTTTATTTTCAATGTTTGTGGGTACATAGTAGGTGTATATATTTATTGGGTACATGAGGTGTTTTGATACAGACATGAAATGTGAAAGAAGCACATCATGGAAAATGGGGTATCCATCCCCCCAAGCATTTATCCTTTGAGTTACAAACAGTAAAATTATACTCCTTTAAGTTATTATTATTATTTTTTGAGACAGAATCTTGCTCTGTCACCCAGGCTGGAGTGCAGTGGCGCGATCTCAGCTCACTGCAACCTCCACCTCCCAGATTCAAGCGATTCTCCTGCCTCAGCCTCTGCAGTAGCTGAGACTACAGGCGCACACCACCATGCCCGGCTAATTTTTTGTATTTTTAGTAGAGACAGGGTTTCACCATGTTGGCCAGGATGGTCTCGATCTTCTGACCTCGTGATCCGCCCACCTTGGCCTCCCAAAGTGCTGGGATTACAGGTGTGAGCCACTGCGCCCGGCCCCTAAGTTATTTTTCTTGGAGGTATTTTGGCCAACAGAGATGGCTGCTTTTAGATATTGTCTTGACAGTGACTGACTCAATTAGCAGGTGTGTAAGGGCTTTTGATAACCTATACTTCTACTCTTTCTCTGGCTCCAGGAAAAAGGTGAGGTAGCTTGCAAATAACTGGATTTTTCCAAACAGCTAGCACCAGACAGGGAGGGGAAAGAGCTGACAGCTGAGAGTTGAGCACCAAGCTTCAGAAACTGACAATTCCATAAAGTCCATGGCCAAGTTCATATGATGAAATAAATCTGTCACATTTTTAAATTTGCATGACTATTGTTATGCTATGTGGCAGTTAGGCATAAAAGAAACAGCCAGAATCTATATTTTTTGTATTGATCCAAACCAAATATTTAGGGTTTTTCTTCTCATTTTGATATTTTTCTGCAAATGATAACTATAAAGAGTATCAATATCAATGTCATCTACCTCCATGTGCAATTTGATCTTCTCAATTTGTTTAAAAATTTAGATCTGGGATGCTGAGCACTGAGTTAATCACATTCCTCACTTTCTAGCACATTGACCACTGACTATGTGGTCTGTGCAAGGTCCTACTCATTTTATATTTTTCCCCCTTCTTTTTTTTTTTTGAGACAGAGTCTCGCTCTGTCGCCCAGGCTGGAATGCAATGGCACGATCTCGGCTCAATGCAACCTTCACCTCCCAGATTCAAGCAATTCTCCTGCCTCAGCCTCCCGAGTAGCTAGGATTACAGGCACCTGCCATCATGCCCAGCTAATTTTTGTATTTTTGTAGAGACGGGGTTTCATCATGTTGGCCAGGCTGGTCTTGAACTCCTGACATCAGGTAATCAGCCCGCCTCGGCCTCCCAAAGTGCTGGGATTACAGGCGTGAGCCACTGTACCCAGCCTATTTTTCCCCCTTCTTCCCTCTCATTGCCTTCTTCTTCCATAGGTTTCATGTGTAATATGTTTGATGTATGTTATTAAACATGTGTGAAACCTCATAAAAGAAAGTTGTTGTTTGTAATTTACCTGAATGGCATTGTATTATAAATCTTTTTTTTTTTTTAATGAGATAGAGTCTTGCTCTGTCACTCACGCTGGAGTGCAGTGGTATGATCTCGGCTTACTGCAACCTCCACCTCCCAGGTGCAAGCAATTCTGTCTCAGTCTCCCGAGTAGCTGCGATTACAGGCGCCTGCCACCACATCTGGCTAATTTTTGTATTTTTAGTAGAGACAGGGTTTCACCATGTTGGACAGGCCAGTCTCAAACTCCTGACCTCGTGATCTGCCTGCCTAGGCCTCCCAAAGTGCTGGGATTACAGGTGTGACCACCACGCCCAGCCTATAATTCATTTTCTGTTTCCTTTGTTTCAGTTCACTATGTTGCTGAAGGTGTAGCTAGTTAGGGGCTTAATAGTGCATGTGGGATAGGCCACGGGCAAGCCTGCTATCGGCCCAATAATACAAGAAACTTTCTTATATGGTATACGGTAGGCCCTTGAATGCTGACCTGGCCTCCTCCTGTGGTTAATCCTACAAAAAAAAGCTAGTCCCAGGCTGGGTGCGGTGGCTCACGCCTGTAATCCCAGCACTTCGGGAGGCCAAGGTGGGTGGATCGCCTGAGGTCAGGAGTTTGAGACCAGCCTGGCCAACATGGTGAAACCCCATCTCTACTAAAAATACAAAAATTAGCCAGGTGTGGTGGCATGCACCTGTAATCCCAGCTCCTCGGGAGGCTGAGGCAGGAGAATCACTTGAACCTGGGAGGCGGAGGTTGCAGTGAGCCGAGGTCATGCCACTGCACTCCAGCCTGGAGAATAAGACCGAGAATTCGTCTCAAAAAAAAAAAAAAAAAAAGCTAGTCCCAACTCTGACCTCATTAGACCAGTTTTCTCCCTATGAATGTGGGATAGGCCATGGGTAAGGCCTGCGGTGATCACCAGAACTTAGGCATGTTTCTGTGAGGAACTAGAAAAGCATTGTTCTTTGCTTATGTGCTTATTTCACATTGCATGCCTGTATCATTGTTCTTTGCTTAGCTTGTTTGCCAATTTGTTATTTTTATTTTTATATTTTTTTTGAGCGGGAGTCTTGCTCTGTCACCCAGGCTGGAGTGCAGTGGCATGATCTCAGCTCACTGCAACCTCTGCCTCCTGGGTTCAAGCGATTCTCCTGCCTCAGTCTCCCGAGTAGCTGGGATTACAGGCCTACACCACCACGCCTGGCTAATTTTTTTTTTTTATTTTTAGTAGATACGGGGTTTTACCATGTTTTCCAGGCTAGTCTCAAACTCCTGACCTCAATTGATCCACCCGCCATGGCCTCCCAAAGTGCTGGGATTACAGGCTTAAGCCACCGCACCTGGCCCCAGTTTATTAATAAACAGAAGTGCTAACAACCTTAACTTGGGTCTGAGTTGTCATAATAGCCAATTTTCAAACCCAAGCCAACCCTTTCTGATCTGCTCTAACTCAGTGAGCATCCATTGTATTTTATTTACTTATTCTCCTAGTAATAGATGCTTAGATTGGTTCCAATCCAACATCTAGCTACGACAAAGCAATGATGAACCTGTGTGGGAATTTCTCTTGGACGCCCCCAGGAATAGTGCTGTTGAGTCACAGGTATGTACATTATTTATTAAATATTGCCTTGTTGCTTCCCAGAATGGGTAGACCAGATTGAATTCCTGTCAGCTATGCATGAGAGTTCTCATCTCTTCACATCTTTACCAACACTTGGTATTATCCATCTTTCTAATTTTTGCCATGCTGATGGATGGAAAATATTATCTTATTGTTTAATTTTAATTTCTCTGGTTACAAACTTGAATATTTTGTTTCAGAACATTTCTTCATATAGTCATACACTTCTGTTAATTGCCTGTTCTTCTTCTTAATTTTATTTTTTTAGAAGAGGTCTTCCTTTGTCTCTCAGATTTGAGTGCAGAGACACCATCACAGCTCACTGCAACCTTGAACTCCTGGGCTCAAGTGATCCTCCTACCTCAGCCTCCTGAGCAGCTAGGACTACAGGCGTGAGCCACCATGTCCAGCTAATTTTATTTTTTGTAGAGACAGGGTTTTTTTTTTTTTTTGAGACAGAGTCTCTCTCTGTTACCCAGGCTGGAGTGCAGTGGCACTATCTCGGCTCACTGCAAGTTCCACCTCCCAGGTTCACGCCATTCTCCTGCCTCAGCGTCCCGAGTAGCTGGAACTACAGGCGCCCACCACCAGGTCCAGCTAATTTTTTTGTATTTTTAGTAGAGACGGAGTTTCACCATGTTAGGCAGGATGGTCTCGATCTCCTGACTTCGTGATCCTCCCGTCTTGGCCTCCCAAAGTGCTGAGGTTACAGGCGTGAGCCACCGCACCCGGCTGAGACAGGGTCTTGCCATATTGCCTAGGCTGATTGGGATCAAGTGATCTTCCCTCCTCAGCCTCCCAAAGTGTTGAGATTACAGGCACGAGCCACTGTGCCTAGCCTTCTTGGTCTATTTTAAATTTGTAAATGTGAAATGTAATTTTAATCATAATTTATTGTATAGCTCTTTAGTTACAATGCAGTTAACCTGGAAGGTGGTTTTGAAACCATCTTCGTCTTAGATATTTCTACTACCTGCCAGTGGTAGCTTGATCTGGTTATTTCCATGGGATTATGCCCTCAACTCAAACATAATGTTCAATTATGGGTGTCATACTCTAAGAGAGACATAAGCAAAGCAGAATGATGGTGATGATAGTTTTCTGAGAATCGTCTTATATGAAAAGAGTTTCAATACCTCAGAAGGGGAAGAAAAAGAGAGAGGGTTAACTTGAAGCAGCCTAGAGGAAAACACCAATACTATGTTCAGATAGTTAAAGCACTGTCATGTGAAATTAGGGAAAGATTTATCCAGTGTTGCCCTAGAGGATGGAATTAAAACAAATGGGTGATGTTATAGACAAACATAGTTACTCTCAGTCTGTGGAATGCTTTTTTGTCACAAATACCTAGCCCTGCAATCAGCTGTCTGCAAGGCAAGCTCACTGGCCATGTTGATATAGAGGCTGGTTGGGGCATTTTTTCATGGAGCAGGAAATTAGTTACAACTTCCAACATTTCTCCCAATATAGATATAATTTAATTTAACTAAAGTTTATTGAGCTCCCACTACATGCAAGACACTGGGCCAAGGTAGGAGGATTACTTGAAGCCAGGAGTTCAAGACTTGCCTGGGCGACATAGTGAGAACCTATCTCTACAAAAAAATAAAATAAATTAGGCATGGTGGCACATTCCTGTAGTCCTAGCTGCTTGGGAGGCTGAGGCAGGAGACTCAATTGAGCCCAGAAGTTTACTGTGGGAATACAGAAGATAGTGTGGGAAAGAAGTCTCGTTCAGCTTCTCTGAAGATTAGCATATGGAAGCTAGGATAGAAAATAAGACTTGTTGGCGAGGGCCTGGAGCCCCTCAACAGCCAGCTGAGATCAGCATTTCAGAACTGAGGCATCCTTGGCAGTGGATTAGAACAAACATAGCCAAAGGACTGGGGAAGACTCCCGGGGCAATCATTTTCTTTTCTTGAGACAGAGTCTTGCTCTGTCACCCAGGCTGGAGTGCAGTGGCATGATCTCAGCTCACTGCAACCTCTGCCTCTTGAGTTCAAGCGATTCTCCTGCCTCAGCCTCCCGAGTAACTGGGATTACAGGCACACGCCATCATGCCCGGCTAATTCTTTTTTTTTTAGTAGAGACAGGGTTTCACCGTGTTGGCCAGGCTGGCCTCGAACTCCTGACCTTGTGATCTGCCTACCTCGGCCTCCCAAAGTGCTGGGATTACAGGCGTGAGCCACCGCACCCGGCTTTGTTTTTTTGTTTTTTTTTTTTTTTTGAGACAGGGTCTTGCTCTGTTGCCCAATCTGGAGTACAGTGGCGGGATCTTGGCTCACTGCAACCTTGACTTTCCAGGCTCAAGCAATCCTCCTGCTTCAGCCCCCTAAGTAGCTGGGACTACAGGCATGTGCCACCATGCCTGGTAGGGCAATTATTTTCTAACAAGAGGAGGCCTAAGTCAAGATATGCAGGCAGAGCAGAATACTGACGGGCTGCCAGCCACTAGGCAATCAGTACTTAGCATCAGGAAAGTCTAACCAAGATCTATCCTCATGAAGTCCCTGCAGGAAGACTGTGGGTGTGAACACAGGAAATAAGCAGTAGTAAATACACAAAGTCCTGGAGACTGGAGGGGAAGGTTTTATAGCAAGGTGATGACGTAGCAGTCGGCTGGCCCTTCAAGGGAAGACTCGATTCTCTCTCTTTTTTTTTTTTTTTTTTTTTTTGAGACGGAGTTTCCCTCTTTTTGCCCAGGCTGGAATGCAATGGTACGATCTCGGTTCACTGCAACCTCCGCCTCCTGGGTTCAGGCAATTCTCCTGCCTCAGCCTCTCGAGTAGCTGGGATTACAGGCATGCACCACCATGCCTGGCTAATTTTGTATTTTTTAGTAGAGACAGGGTTTCTCCATGTTGGCCAGGCTAGGCTGGAACTCCCGACCTCAGGTGATCCGCCTGCCTCAGCCTGGCCAAGTGCTGGGATTACAGGCGTGAGCCATCACGCCCGGCCTGGAAGACTCAATTCTTATGAAGAACACGGAGAGCAAGTTGGGGAGGGATAAAAGAGTAAGAAATCAGGTATAGAGACTGAATATGCATGGGAACAGTGGTAAAGATGATCCTGCCTCAATATCTTTTGAGGCAGGAGTTTTTTATAAGGTAGAGGCAGGTCCTAAAAGCTTAAGTTGAAGACTAGAACCATGAACTGGTCAACTATGCTTTTTCTAGAAAAATATAGAGATAATACCTTAATTGATAGTATAAACATATAAATATACCTCTTTTTTCTTGGCTTTGCAAATATTTGGACTACTACTTTCTCTTTTCCTCCCTCCCTCCTTTATTTATTTATTTACTTATTTTATTTATTTATTTTTTTGAGACAGAGTTTCGCTCTGTTGCCCAGGCTGGATTGCAGTGGCACGATCTCGGCTCACTGCAAGCTCCGCCTCCTGGGTTCACGCCATTCTCCTGCCTCAGCCTCCCGAGTAGCTGGGACTACAGACGCCCACCACCATGCCCGGCTAATTTTTTGTATTTTTAGTAGAGACGGGGTTTCACTGTGTTAGCCAGGATGGTGTTGATCTCCTGACCTCGTGATCCACTTGCCTCGGCCTCCCAAAGTGCTGCGATTACAGGTGTTAGCCACCGCGCCCAGCCTCCCATTTATTTATTTATTTTTTATTTTTATTTTTATTTATTTATTTATTTATTTTGGTTTTGAACCTTTAATGAGAAAAAAATATATAATATCGAGCTCAAGAACACTGTGTGTTTGGTGTCATTGGGTCAAGGGTTGGGGATACACACGGCAGAATTCGGAAACGGTATATGTCAACAAAAATACACACAATCATAACAAGAAAAACTGGCGCCTGGCACAATCAACTCTCAGTTTCCTCTTCACTCAGCAGCATGTTGGGGATCCCGCGGCTGATGGGGAACATACGTCCAGATTCCGGGCACTGCAGGGTGCCCTCTATCACTTCCACCTCCAGCAGCAGGTGGTGCATGGTCCTCAGAAACTCTTCATTCTCCTCATATCCCTCAACTGGCCCTTTAGGCATCTGGATCAGGCGCAAGCTATCGGCCGCCTCCAGGAACGCCGACCACTCCACCTTAGGTATCATATGTACCACGTATGATACGTGCCACGTATGATGCCACATAAATTGGGGGTTGAACTCCACAGGGCAGATACGGACCTCGGTGGCCTGGAGGCACAGGGGGAAGCCACGGGACCCCATCCCCCGCACATGCGAGCTCAGCAGATTGTGGGTGAGCAGTTTCATGTCGCCACACAACTATTTTTTATTTTTTGAGACGGAGTCTCACTCTGTCGCCCAGGCTGGAGTGCAGTGGCGTGATCTCAGCTCACTACAACCTCTGCTTCCCGGGTTCAAGCGATTCTGCTGCCTCAGCCTCCTGAGTAGCTGGGACTACAGGCGCACGCTACCAGGCCCAGCTAATTTTTATATTTTTAGTAGAGACAGGGTTTCACCATGTTGACAAGGATGGTCTCGATCTCTTGACCTCGTGATCCACCCGCCTCAGCCTCCCAAAGTGCTGGGATTACAGGCGTGAGCTACTGTGCCCAGTCTATTTATTTTTTTGACAGTGTGTCTCACTCTGTTGCTCACGCTGTAGTGCAGTGGCAGGATCATGGCTCACTGCAGCCTCAGCCTCCCAGGCTCAAGCAATCCTCCCACCTCAGCCTTCCGGAGTAGCTGGGATCACAGGAACTCATCACCATGTCAGGCTAATTTTTTCTTACTTTTTTTAGAGATGGGGCTTCACCATGTTACCTAGGCTGGTCTGGAACTCCTAGACTCAAGCTCTCTGCCTACCTTGGCCTCCTAAAGTGCTGGGATTACAGGCATGAGCCTCTGCGCCTGGCCTGGACTACATTTTTTGTTGTTGTTGTTGTTGAGATGGAGTCTCGTTCTGTCACTCAGCCTGGAGTGCAGTGGTGCGATCTCGACTCACTGCAACCTCGGCCTCCCAGGCTCAAGCGAGTCTCCTGCCTCAGCCTCCCAAGTAGCTGGAATTATAGGTACCTGCCACCATGCCTGGCTAATTTTTGTGTTTTTAGTAGAGATGGGGTTTCACCAAGTTGGCCAGGCTGGTCTCAAACTCCTAATCAAGTGATCCACCCGCCTGGGCCTCTCAAAGTGCTGGGATTACAGGCATGAGCCACTGCACCTGGCCTCTGGACTACATTCTTTATAGAGCAATTTTGAAAAAAGCATAACCCCTAAACTAGCAGTAGATTGGCATTTTTTTCACTGTTTCCACTTTTATGAAATATTTCTTCATAACTCTAGGTTTATCCTTTAGGCCTGTGTAGATCCCCATTTTACTCTTCTTTTCTAGAGTCAGAGATCTTCCATACCTTGATCACTTCTGCTTGCTTCACTGGCAGATATAGCTTGATGCTTAGGCCTCACTCCAGCAAAACCTTTAATTAACTTTAGAGAATCCAAATGCTAAGTACTGGCCGAGCCTCTCAATCCTCGCAATTCTCACCTTGAGGTAATACGGTGTCCTGTGGAGGTTTTCTTCTCTTTTCCCTTGCCCGTATAGTCCAGGCTCTGCACTAACAGTGTGACCTCTGGGAAGGCCCTAACTTCTCTGAATCTCAGACTCCTCATCTGTGAGTTACGTGCAGGGGTCAAATTATGATTTAAAATATATGGTGGGGCATGTTGGCTCGCACTTGTAATCCCAGCATTTTGGGAGGCCAAGGCTGGCAGATTGTTTGAGCCTAGGAGTTCAAGACCAGCCTGGGCAACATGGCAAAACCCCATCTCCACAAAAAATATAAAAATTAGCTGGGCGTAATGGTGCACATCCATAGTCTCAGGGACTTGGGAGGCTGAAGTGGGAGGACTGCTTGAGCCCAAGAGGCTGAGGCTGCAGTGAGCCATGATCGTTCCACTGCACTGCAGCTTGGGCGACAGAGTGAGAACCTGCCTCAAAAAAAAAAAAAAAAAAAAAAAAGGTATCCTGGCGGGGCACAGTGGCTCACGCCTATAATTCCAGCACTTTGGGAGGCCAAGGAGGGCAAATCACTTGAGGTTAGGAGTTCAAGACTATCCTGGTCAGGGATGGTGGCTCACGCCCTAGTTAAAGGCTTATGCTTTTTTCAGAATTGCTCTATAAAGAATGTAGTCCAGGGGCTGGGCGCGGTGGCTCATTCCTGTAATCCCAGCACTTTGGGAGGCTGAGGAGGGCGGATCACTTGAGGTCAGGGGTCTAAGAGCAGCCTTGCCAACATGATGAAACCCCATCTCTACTAAAAATACA
The DNA here is from genome assembly GCF_000001405.40 of Homo sapiens. NCBI lineage: Eukaryota > Metazoa > Chordata > Mammalia > Primates > Hominidae > Homo > Homo sapiens. The sequence continues at coordinate 26,030,627 of NC_000002.12, forward strand.
AAACTCAAGACAGGCGTGGTGGCGGTGCCTGTAATACCAGCTACTTGGGAGGCTGAGGCAGGAGTTTCACTTGAACCAGGAGGCAGAAGTTGCAGTGAACCAAGACTGTGCCACTGCACTCCAGTCTGGGTGAAAGAGTGAGATTCTATCTCAAAAAAAAAAAAGTCTATGATCGATAATTTGTTAATAAATGTAATAATTCCTAAAGTTTCAGAATATGAGTTCATGGGGAAAGGTTTCTAAGTGATAAAATTGTTGGTTACAGGATAAAAAATAAAGTGAAAAAATCTTTTTTACTTATATTTGTACATATTAATGGAAGTACATGTGATTTTTGATACATGCATACTGTGTGTAATGATCAAATCATTACAAATGAGGTTACCCATCACCTCAAACATTTATCATTTGTGTTGGGTTTTTCAGATTTTTCAACTGTCCATTATCCCCAAAATTTACGTAGTGGTATTACTCTCCAAATTAGGCTTTTTTTTTTGAGATGGAGTCTTGCTCTGTCACCAGGCTAGAATGCAGTGGTGCAATCTTGGCTCACTGCAACCTCCGACTCCCTGGTTTAAGCAATTCTCCTGCCTCAGCCTCCTGAGTAGCTGGGACTACAGGTGCATGCCACCATGCTCAGCTAATTAATGTATTTTTAGTAGAGATGGGGTCTCACCATGTTGGCCAAGATGGTCTCGATCTCTTGACCTCAAACGATCCACCCACCTCGGTCTCCCAAAGTGCTGGGATTACAGGTGAGAGCCACTAGGCCCGGCCCAAATTAGGCCTTCTACAGGAAAAAGTCTTGGCTGGGCCTGTTGGCTCACACCTGTAATCCCAGCACCTTAGGAAGCCAAGGTGGGAGGATCGCTTGAGGCCAGGAGTTTGAGGTTGCAGTGAGGCCTCCACACTCCAGTGTGGGAAACAAGCAAGACCCTGTCTTAAAAACAAACAAAACCTTTAACACTTCATTTTTTCACAGATGGAGTCCACTCTGTTGTCCAGGCTGGTCTCAATCTCCTGGGGTCAAGCAATCCTCCCTCCTCAGCCTCCTGAATAGCTGGGACTACAGGTTCAGTCACTGTGCCCAGCTTAAAAACTTTCAAGACTTTTAAAATACTTTGTAACATTGAGGCTTGAGTTAATCTAACTTATTTTGAAAGGAATAATCAAGGTAACAAGATTTTCCTTCTGACGCTGAATTGACGACACACCTGTGCTGCACTGACCATCACTCACTTTGTGATTTGCATAGCTAGTCTATTTTAGAATTGTTATTATCATAAGGCATTCCCGACTACAGTCAGAATGATTCATAGAGGATAAGAAGGTTTAAGTGAGGCCAGGCGCAGTGGCTCTCACCTGTAATCCCAGCACTTTGGGAGGCTGAGGCGGATGGATCATCTGAGGTCAGGAGTTCAAGACCAGCCTGGCCAACATGGTGAAACCCCGTCTCTACTAAAAATATAAAAATTAGCCAGGCTTGGTGGCACACGCCTGTAATCCCAGCTACTAAGGAGGCTGAGGCAGGAGAATCACTTGAACCCGGAAGGGCTGCAGTAAGCCGAGATTGTGCCACTGCACTCCAGCATGGGTGGTAGAGTGAGAGTCTGTCTCAAAAAAAAAAAATGTTTAAGTGACAAGACTAGGAGCAATTGGAGAAAACAACTGAAGAGAAAGCTGTATTAGTGAAGACAAGTATCTTCGGTAAGGACGCTTTAGGGGTGGTTGAGAAGAAAGGAAAAATGTAAGACAGAAATATAAGACAGAAATGTAAGACGGAATTGCCTGAAAGTCTAACTTTAATTACATATCAAATACACATTTTGGTGATTTGGCGATCTTGGGGTGGTGTGTGTGAAAATGTAGTTTTTACTTCTCTATCCCTGTTTCTTGTTTTCCACATACTTCAGCGTTTTCCACTTTATCAGGTTGAACCAGCTCACCAGGTTCAACTCCTGTGCCATCACACCTAGGTGTGCTTTGAGGGATGGATGTCCCTGAGAATGGAAGGTCAGCAGCATGCATACTGCAACTACAGAAGGGTAGGAGAGAAAAAGGGTGGCGTAAACAGGACTGATGGGGAGAGAGAACAGAAGGTAAAGCAAATGCAAAGAAAATGCGAGGGCCCGGGCGCGGGGGCTAACGCCTGTAATCCCAGCACTTTGGGAGGCCGGGGCGGGCGGGTCACCTGTCAGGTGTTCGACACCAGCCTGACTAACAGGGTGAAACCCCGTCTCTACTAAATACAAAAAATTAGCCGGGCGTGGTAGCACATGCCTGTAATCCCAGCTACTTGGGAGGCCGAGGCAGGAGAATCACTTGAACCCAGGTGGTGGAGGTTGCAGTGAGCAGAGATTGTGCCATTGCACTCTAGCCTGGGCAACAAGAGCGAAACTCCATCTCAAAAAAAAAAAAAAAAAGAAAGAAAAGAAAAAAAGAAAAAGAAAATGCGAGGAAACGAGCGAAACTCCATCTCAAAAAAAAAAAAAAAAAAAAGAAAGAAAAGAAAAAAAGAAAAAGAAAATGCGAGGAAGCAGGCTGTGTCGGACTGGGAGTAGGCTTGACCACCTTTCAATTTTCAACCCAGTGGTACGACGCTGGCGGCAGGCAGAGGCCCCACCTCCTCTGCAGAGCGCTCTCGGGTTCTCCCGGATTCCTGAAGGACGGCAAAGGCCTGAAGCAGGTTCTCTGAGCACCGCACAGAACCCTCCACTTCGCAGGGAGGTTCTTCCTGCGCCCAGGTGTTCCTCAACCTTCCTCTCCTCGCCCAGGAAGAGGTTGTGAGGATTACCTCATCCCAACCCGAGCGGCGTGGCCAGCTTTTCCATCTCAAACTCTTGCTCTTGAAGTCAATCCGGATGGAGCGCTCATGTTTCCCCGTCAGGGCTGGCCCTGGAGAGGGGGCACGCCGGGAGGCGTCTCGTTCTAGCAAAGAGGCTATTAAATGACCCAGGGCGCGGCTTTTTCTCGCGTTTACGAGCTCCACCTACACGGGAACACATGGCCACCCAAGCCCGTCGCTGCGCCAAGACCTCCAGCTCAACACACCCGACAAGCGCTGTGCAGAGAAACCGCAGCGCAGTCCAGCGGGAGACCCCGGGAGGGGAAGGAGGTGCTGGGCTCTGTAAGGGTGTCCCGGGGAGCGGGGAGCGGGAGGCGGGAGGCGGGGGTCGGAGGGGGGGCGCTGCGCCTGCGCAGTCGCTAGGTAGCGTCTCCCCCGGGGCGTGCTCGTAACGCCGCGCACCCTATCAGGCGGCCACAGGGAGCGCGCCCGCGGCCTCGCCCTTTCTCGCCCCTCCCTTCTCCCCTCTGGGTCCAGCCTCAGACTGAGGCTTGGAGACAGGAGCATTCCACTCGCCACTTCGGCGCGCCCCCATGCCCTCTTGTGCGCGTGCGCAGAGGCGGACCGCAAGGCTAGGGCGTGAGGGAAGGGCGGGCGTACGCCCTTGCGTGCGTCTCAGGCAGCGCGCACGCCGGCGTGAGAGGGCACGGGGAAAAGGTGGCTCTGGCCGGGGTGGCTCGGTTTCCTGGGGCTATGTAACTGAGCTCGTCGACTTAGGGGTCCTTCTTCGCTGCCCTCGCCGCGTGCTAGCAGGGAGTTTCCGCTCGGGAGAGAGACTGTCCTCACGCCCGCTGCGCCTCCTCGACGGCAGAGCAGGCTTGCTCGCCCGTGGGAGCGTCCCGGCCGAGAAGCCCTGAGGGGGGAGGGGAGGCCATTTTGTCCCGACCGACTCCCCGGAACCGGGCGGACGGGCTGGGAGAGGCTGCGGAGCCGCGGTCGCCGCCCTCGGAGGCACTGGACGCCGCCACTGTCGGGGCTTCCTCAAAGCTGTTCGTAGGTCGCCCGCGCCGTCTCGAGCCTTTTTCCCACGCTTCCCCGGTCCTCCGGCCTGAGAACGCCCGAGTGAGGAGTTGGCCGTAGTGAGAGGGACCGATCCCTTGGGGCCGCCGGCGGCGAGAGCCCGAGCCGCTCCTCCCAATGGCGAAGAAGACGTACGACCTGCTTTTCAAGCTGCTCCTGATCGGGGATTCCGGAGTGGGGAAGACCTGCGTCCTTTTTCGTTTTTCGGATGATGCCTTCAATACTACCTTTATTTCCACCATAGGTAAGACCTGTGGGAGGACGGTGTACGGTCTCGGTAGCTGCATACCGTTTATTTTACTCCAGACATCTTGCTTCCCGTAATATACGCCTTTGTTTCAGTGATTCCGATTCCAAACGACACATCCAAGTTACTGTTTGAATCGGCATCGAGCTTACTGGGGCGGGGTCTTCCCATGATTTCCATCCGGTCTTTTGCTTTCGAGTCTCCCACTATGCTCAGTGCCTTCTGTTACAAAATATGCATCATTTAACCATGTTCCAGAACCTTATTTCTTCAGGCGACTGGACTGGCTTTTTCCACATTTGCGTGGAATTAGTAGATGTGTGATATTTTTAAGGTATTTATTTCAGTGGTTGCGATTGAAGCAGTACTAGCTATTTGGGAAAGGCCTGAATTTATACTTTGGGGCAAAGAAAAGATTCCATATGGTGATAACTTAGAGTAAACTTGAGGGTTTCTGAGAAGAATAATTAAGGTAAATTAGAAGGGAAGAGTGAGTTGCCCTCATTCACTAATCCATTGATGTGTCAAACAATCGGAGGCTCTTCGCGCTTGGGGTGGGACTCTGGCATATTTGCCTCAGTGCTTTTCGAGACATCAACAGAAGCAGTAATCTGAGGGAGATGATCAGTTTCTGTCCTCAAACCCAACGGAGTGAAGTCAAGCTCTCTCTTCTATTTTATTTGACTCTAGTATTTACAGGAAAGTATTTTGCCAGTCATAGCCCTATGGACTTATAATGCACTTTCACCATGTTTCAGAATTACTTAGTGTGGAAGTAAGAGCTAAAGAGTGACCTTTTTAATCGAATTTCCCGTTTAGGAAAGGAAAAGGGAAGGCTCTAGGAAAGTCCCTTTTGAATCTGGTTAGAAAATTTAAGTGGCATTGACGCTAATTGTGCTATATTAATTGTGAAACCCATCCGCTCCGCAATAAATTTCTTAAAAGACACATGGCTCTCAGCATTGTGGCGGTGCAGTTGAACCCATTTTTAAATGTACTTTTATATTGAGAGGCTTTTAAAAAGCAACGGCAGTCGTCTTTGAACTCTGGGAATTGTCAAAATTAAGCTGATTTGAAACAGTTTGTATAGCGTAACTGAAATATTTGGTTTGGGTTTTCTTTTGTGACAAATACCTGCTTCATTCTCACAAAAGAAATTATACTGAAATTAAATTGGACAAGTGATTTTTTAAATAGATTTTTATTTTGCTTACCTTTTTTGGGAGGCAAATTATCATAATCCTTATTTCCAGAGTATCATACTGTTTTCTTGGTCTGTCATAAATTTCATGAAACTTAGAGCTTGTTCTCTAACTTGTGGGTTAGAGAATACTAGCACTTAGCGCTAGCACTTCCCTAGCACTGTTTGCTTTTAACACTCCACTTTTAGCTGTAGCTGGCTAGGGTTAGGTGATCAGATGGGTCAGCAAATATTTATTGAGCACCTAATGCTGGGCACTGTTTTTAGGCACTGGGAATAAATGATGAACACAACAGACCCCTTGAGGAGCATTCCGGTGAGATAATCATAATAGTGTGGAAGATGCTACAATAGTAAGCACAGGGAGGAAGAGTGGCTAGTCTAAATCGTGAGGAGTTTGAGTAGGCTTACGTGGAGATGATACCTAAAATGAAGTCTGGGCCGGGCGCGGTGGCTCATGCCTGTAATCCCAGCACTTTGGGAGGCCTTGGCGGGCGGATCACAAGGTCGGGAGGTCAAGACCAGTTTGGCCAATATGGTGAAACCCCGTTTTTACTAAAAATACAAAAATTAGCTGGGCGTAGTGGCAGGCACCTGTAGTCCCAGCTACTCAGGAGGCTGAGGCAGGAGAATCACTTGAACCTGGGAGGCGGAGGTTGCAGTGAGCTGAGATTGTGCCACTGCACTCCAGCCTGGGCAACAAAGCCAGACTCCGTCTCAAAATAATAATAAATAAATGAAGTCTGAAGGACTAATAGGAATAGAGTCAGAGGGGTAGGATAGGGCCTTTCTGGAAAAGGGAGCATAGAACAAATGTATAGTAAGGTTGAGGATTTAATTCATGTGGTCAACTTTATTTATTTATTTTGAGACTGAGCCTCACTCTGTGGCCCAGGCTGGAGTGCAGTGGCGTGATCTCGGCCCACTGCAACCTCCGCCTCAGGGGTTCAAGCAATTCTGCCTCAGCTTCCTGAGTAGCAGAGACTACAGGTGCCCACCACCACACCTGGCTAATTTCTGTATTTTTAGTAGAGATGGTTTCACCATGTTGGTCAGGCTGGTCTTGACCTCAAGCAATCCACCGCCCCAGCCTCCCAAAGTGCTGGGATTACAGGCGTGAGCCACCACGCCTGGCTGTGTGGTCAACTTTAACCTATCCTTAGGAACAGTGTGGAGTAGGAAGCAAAACATTAACTCTGTCTACTCCAATCTTTTTGTAAAGGGTGCATGCCCCCAACTAAAACTCAATCCTGTAAGATAATGGTATAATCTTTTTGTAGCCCTTTTACTTGGGAAGATGTGTGATGATTTTGGATCAAGTCTGCTGGGTTGGAATCTTGTTTCCACAGGTTACTAGCTGTGCAACTTTGGCAGATTACTTAACCTCTGTCGGCTTCAGGCTCTTTAAGAGTGTTAAGGCTGGGCACGGTGGCTCACTCCTGTAATCCCAGCTCTTTGGGAGGCCGAGGCAGGCGGATCACCTGAGGTCGGAAGTTCGAGACCAGCCTGATCAACATGGAGAAACCCTGTCTCTACTAAAAATACAAAAATTATCTGGGCGTGGTGGCGCATGCTTGTAATCCCAGTTACTCAGGAGGCTGAGGCAGGAGAATCGCTTGAACCCGGGAGACAGAGGTTGTGGTGAGCCGAGATCGTGCCATTGCACTCCAGCCTGGGCAACAAGAGTGAAACTCTGTCTCAAAAAAAAAAAAAAGTGTCAATCATAATATCTACCACATAGGGTAGTTGTGAGGATTTTAGGGGTTAGTGAGAGTAAAGCACTTCACATGGTGCCAGGACCAGGCACTTTGTAGGAGCACAGTGCATATTAGCTATATATAGAATATGTGACTCTTCTGCTGTGGAGGTGTGGCAGAACATGTTATTTTATGGATTGAACATCCTGCACACCGTGGTACCCAAGTATTTGTTGGTGCTCCACTAAACAATTTCTTTTTTTTTTTGAGACGGAGTTTCGTTCTTTTTGCCCAGGCTGGAGTGCAATGGTGTGATCTCGGCTCACTGCAACCTCCGCCTCCCAGGCTTAGGTGATTCTTCTGCCTCAGCCTCCCAAGTAGCTGGGATTACAGGCATATGCCACCACACCTGGCTAATTTTGTATTTTTAATAGAGACGGGGTTTCACCATGTTGGCCAGGCTGGTCTCGAACTTCTGACCTCAGGTGATCTGCCCGCCTCAGCGTCTCAAAGTGCTGGGATTACAGGCGGAAGCCACCACACTGCCCTCCTTTGTTTGTTTGTTTTTTTTTTTTTTGAGATGGATTTTCGCTTTTGTTGCTCAGGCTGGAGTGTAGTGGCACAATCTCTGTTCACTGCAACCTCTGCCTCCCAGGTTCAAGCGATTCTCCTGCCTCAGCCTCCTGAGTAGCTGGGATTACAGGTGCGCACCACCACGCCTGGCCAATTTAGTATTTTTAGTAGAGGTGGTGTTTCATCATGTTGGTCAGGCTGCTCTTGAACTCCTGACCTCAGGTGATCCACCTGCCTCAGCCTCCCAAACTGCTGGGATTACAGGCATGAGCCACTGCGCCCAGCCTAGACTCTGACATTTTCATACTTTCAGGTAAAAATGTTTTCACATATAAGATGTTGAATAGTGTAAGTTGAGAAAATAAATGATTCTGAGTACAGCTTGAACACATACATGTATTAGCTCTGTGCACAGGTTTAAAATACCATTGGGCGGGGCGCGATGGCTCACGCCTATAATCCCAGCGCTTTGGGAGGCTGAGGTGGGTGGATCACGAGGTCAGGAGATCGAGACCATCCTGCCAAACATGGTGAAACTTCGTCTCTACTAAAAATACAAAAAATTAGCTGTCCGTGGTGGTGGGCGCTTGTAGTCCCAGCTGCTCGGGAGGCTGAGGCAGGGGAATGGCATGAACCCAGAAGGTGGCGGAGCTTGCAGTGAGCCGAGGTCGCACTACTGCACTTCAGCCTGGGCAACAGAGCGAGACTCTGTCTCAAAAAAAAAAAAAAAAAAATCTACCATTGCGTTTAACCAGTGCCGTTCAAAAGAAATAATGTGAGCCACATATATTACTTTTAATAGCCACTTTTTTTTTTTTTTTTTTTTAAGATATAGAGTCTTGTTCTGTTGCCTAGACTGGAGTGCAGTGGTGCAGTCTTGGCTCACTGCAACCTCCGCCTCCTAGGTTCAAGCAATTCTACTGCCTCAGCCTCCCAGGTACCTGGGATTATAGGCGTGTGCCACCATGCCCAACTAATTTTTGAATTTTTTAGTAGAGACAGGGTTTTACCATGTTGGCCAGGCTGGTCTTGAACTCCTGACGTCAGGTGATCCGCCCACCTTGGCCTCCCAAAATCCTGGGATTACAGGCATGAGCCACTGTACCTGGCCAAATAGTCACATTTTAAAAAGTAAAAAAATTTTTTTTCTTTTTGAGATGGAGTATCACTGTGTTGCCCAGGCTGGAGTGTAGTGGCGCGATCTGGGCTCACTGCAACCTCCACTTCCCAGATTCAAGCAATTCTCCCTGCCTCAGCCTCCCTAGTAGCTGGGATTACAGGTACCCACTACCACGCCCAGCTAATTTTTTTGTATTTTTAGTAGAGATGCGGTTTTGCCATGTTGGCCAGGCTGGTCAAGAACTCCTGACCTCAGGTGATCCACCCACCTCGGCCTCCCAAAGTTCTGGGATTACAGACGTGAGCCACCACACTTGGCCTAAAAAGTAAATTTTAATAATATATTTTAACTCATATCTAGAATGTTACTTTATTGTGTGATCAAGATTTAAAAATTGTTGAGGGCAGGCTCAGTGGCTCACACCTGTAATCCCAGCACTTTGGCAGGCCTAGGTGGGAGGATTGCTTGGGCCCAAGAGTTCAAGACCAGCCTGGGCAACATAGTGAGACCCTGTCTGTATGAAAAAAAAATTAAAATTGTTGAGATATTTCACATTCTTTTTCTCTGGTTTGTAAGCTATGCTTACAACTCATCTCAGATTAGGCGTATTTCTACATGGATGTATATTATGTAATGAAAAAATAAATTTTAAAGAGGCATATTTCAAGTGATTAATAGCTACATGTGGCTTGTAGCTACCATACTGGATGGTATGTGTCTAAACAATGTAAAGTAGCCAGTTGGTCAACGTGCAGATGACTAGAAATACTTTGAATGTAGACTACTTTCAGGAATGTGTTAAATGTTATTAAGTGATGAGGGTTTCTTGTTGTTGTTTAAAAGATTAAATCTCACTCTGTCACCCAACTTGGAGTGCAGTGGTGCAATCATAGCTCACTGTAGCCTCGAACTCCTGGGCTTAAGCAATCCTCCTTCCTCGGCCTCTCACGTAGCTGGGACTACAGGCGAGCACCATCGCGTCTGGCTGTGTTGTTTTTAAAATCTAGAGCATTCTCTATAAATGATTTATAGAGAATCTATAACATCCTGAGGACTGGGCGTGGTGGCTCAAACCTGTAATCCCAGCACTTTGGGAGGCTGAGTTGGGAAGTTCACTTGAAGTCAGGAGTTTGAGACCAGTCTGGGCAACATAGACCCCATCTCTGCAAAAACAAAAAATTAGCAGGACATGGTGGCATGTTCCTGTAGTTCTAGCTACAGGGGAGGCTGAGGTGGGAGGATCACTTGAGTCCAGGAGTTCAAAGGTGCAGTGAGCTCGGATCACACCACTGCACTCCAGCCTGGGTGACAGAGCGAGACCGTGTATGATAAAACAAAAACAGAAAACATCCAGAGGTTTGTATAGAAGTAGTTATCTTGCAGGTGTTCAGAAGGACCTGACTGCCAAAATAAGGCAGGCCCTCATTATTTCAGGTGCAGTCATTTAAGTTTCTTATTGGCTATGGTTTTTTGAAGAAATAATTTTTATAGATTTATAGGATGGTGTTCACAAAGACTACTGTATTTGAATTTTTCTATATATTTTCAATTCTCATACATCCGTATTAGAAATTATGTATTGTATTTATGGTCAGATTTATTGGAGACTGCTGCAAAAAACAAATTACTGGTATGGTACACTCAACCAATCTCAAAACGAATCCAAGGGCACCAGAATATAAGTTGCACAAAGGCAGAAATCTTTGTCTTTTTTTTTTTTCTCATGTGTGCTAAACACCTGGAAGGGTACCTGCATTTAATGGGTGCACCATAAATAATGAATGAAGGCAGGCAGGTAGGCAGACAGGTGGTACAATCAGGATCCCCTTAATATGAATTGGGGGTAGTTTATGTAAAATTTTTCCTTTTTACCTACTTTCTGATCATTATATGAAGTAGATTGGGATCAGACTTACCAATATTAGCTGTGGCCGGGCGCAGTGGCTCATGCCTGTAATCCCAGCACTTTGGGAGGCCAATGCAGGTGGATCACCAGAGGTCAGGAGTTTGAGACCAGCCTGGCCAACATGGTGAAACCCCGTCTCTACTAAAAATACAAAAATTAGCTAGGCATGGTGGTGTGTGCCTGTTGCCCCAGCTGCTTGGGAGGCTCTGAGGCAGGAGAATTGCTTAAACCCGGGAGGCGGAGGTTGCAGTGAGTTGAGCTCGTGCCACTGCACTCAAGCCTGGGTGACAAGAGTGAGACGCTGACTCAAAAAAAAAAAAAAAAAAAAAAAGAATGTTAGCTGTTTGGCTTAATAGGGCAAGACTGCTCTTAGAAATTGAAAGGTTGGGGCTGGGTTTGGTGGCTCACGCCTGTAATCCCAGCACTTTGGGAGACCGAGGCGGGCAGATCACCTAAGGTCAGAGTTCGAGACCAGCCTGGCCAACATGGTGAAACCCTGTCTCTACCAAAAATACAAAATTAGCTGGGCGTGGTGGCGCATGCCTGTAATCTCAGCTACTCTAGAGGCTGAGGCAGGAGAACCGCTTGAACCAGGGAGGCGGAGGTTGCGGTGAGCCGAGATCGTGCCATTGTAATCCAACCTGGGCAACAGGAGCAAAACTCTGTCTCAAAAAAAAAGAAAAGAAAAAGAGAAATTGAAAGGTTGTTTGAAAAATAGGCTTAAGAGAGTTACTGCTTTTGGATGAGAAGATTTCAGTGGTTGATTTGACCATAACCATCTTGGTAGTATGAGCTCAGGAATGCGTTACTTATTAGTGATGTGGGAATTACATGGATTTGTCCCCAAAGCACAAGCTTTTAGTGGGCTGCTTCTATACTGGATGTGCTACCTTTTGGTGTCATTAATCCTTTCTCCACCACAGGCTTACTCATTTTTTAACAGGGAATATTTTTCACTGGGAATTGGAGTCTCTCGGCTCCATGTAAGAAATCAAGTTGGTAAAGGCTCTTGTCCCTAAGAGAGGTATAATACATACATTTTGTTGTCAGGATGATTTTGCTAAGTTTTGGAAGAGTAGGTTGGTTCCACTAACCTGCATTTAAGAAATGATTGATTAGGCTGGGTGCTGTGGCTCACACCTGTATTTCCAACACTTTGGGAGGCTGAGGCAGGAGGATAGCTTGAGCTCAGGAGTTCGAGACCAGCCTGGGCAACTTAGCGAGACCCCATCTCTACAAAAAAAAGCTTTTAAATAAAAAATTAGCTGGGTGCGGTGGTGTACACCTGTAGTCCCAGCTACTCAGGAGGCTGAGATGGGAGGATCACTTGAGCCCAGGAGTTTGAAGCTGCAGTGAGCTATGATTGTACCATCTCACTCCAGCCTGGATGACAGAGTGAGATTCTGTCTTAAACAAAAAACCCCAAAAGACCATCCAGAGTGCTTGTCTCGGTAGCATATATACTAAAATTGGAAGGATATGGAGAAGATTAGTATGGTCCCTGCGCAAGGATGACACGCAAATTTGTGAATTGTTTCATAATTACTATTTAAAAAAAAAAAACCTCTGTAGGTATTTCTCCAAAGAAGCTAAGCAGATGCCCAATAAACATATGGAAAGATGTTCAGCATCACTAATAATTAGGGAAATGCAAATCAAAACCACAGTGAGATGTTACTTTGCGACCATTTAGGATAGTTATAACAACAACAACAAACGACAAAAGCAAGTGATGAGGTTGTAGAGAAATTGGAACCTTGGTGCATTGCTGGTGGGAATGTGAAATGGTGCAGCCACAGTGAGAAACAATAGGGTGGTTTCTCAAAAAATTAAAAATGAAATTACCATATGATCTAGTGATCTCACTTCGAGTTATATCCAGGATAATTTAAATCAAAGATTCAAACAGGGCCAGGCAAGGTGGCTTATGCCCGTAAATCCCAGCACTTTAGGAGGCCAGATTACTTGGGCTCAGGAGTTCAAGACCAGCCTGGGCAACATGGTGAGATCCTGTCTCTACCAAGAAACCCCCCAAAATTAGCTGTACATGTTGGCGCATGCCTGTAGTACCAGCTGCTTGGGAGGCTGAGGTGAGAGGATCACTTGAACCCGGGAAGCGGAGGTTGCAGTGAGCTGATGATCATGCCACTGTACTCCAGCCTGGATGACAGAGCAAGACCCTGTCTCAAAACAAACAACAACAAAAAAGACTCAAACAGCTATTTGTACACCAGCATTCATAGTAGCATTATGCACGATAGCTGAAAGGTGGAAACAACTCACATGTTCATCAGTGGATAAATGGATAAACAAAATGTGGTATACACATAGAATGGAATATTATTCAGCCTTAAAAGGGAGGGAAATTCTAACATGCTACCACATGGATACGCCTTGAAAATAGTTTACTAAGTAAAATGAGTTGGACACAAAAGGACAAATAATGTGTGAGGTACCTATAGTAGACAAAATTAGTGGAATAGTGGTTACTGGGGCCTGGGGGACAGAGTAATGGGGAGTTATTGCTTAATGATCACAGAGTTTTAGTTTGGAAGGATGAAAAAGTTCCAGAGAGGAATAGTGTTGATGGTTGTATAACAGTGTGAATTAATTTAATGCCAATGAATTGTACACTTAAAAATGTTTGAAATGCATGAAAAGACAAATACTATGTGATTTCATTTATATGAATATGAGGCTATCTAAAGTCAAATTCATAGAAACAGAAATAATGGTGATTACCAGGGGCTGGGGAAGAGGGAAATAGGAAGGTGTTTAATGAGTATAAAACAACGCATTACAGTTTTGCAGAATGAAAAGGCTCTGGAGATCTGTTGCACAATGGTGTGATACACTTAACACCTACTGAACTGTACACATTAAAAATGGTTAAGATGGCAAATTTAATGTTATGTTTTAGAAAATGGTTTAAATGGTAAATGTTTTAGATATATTTTCCCCACCGCTCAACAAAACCCAAAAAACTAACACTCGACCCAGTTCTCTAAAAGAGCATTTGATCACAGACGGCCCCTCCTGTTCCAGGTGTTAGCTACTGTTAACCAGTGGTTGTGAATCAAGAGGATCCTTTATGGTACTTTCCCATGCTTTAATATCACTGGTCTGTACTTTCAGTTGTTGAAGGCAGATTTGTCTTTTTGTTGTCTGTATTTGCATAGACCTTCTTGGAATGTTAGAATCACAGAATGTTAGTGCAGGAATGAACCCTTAAATGAATTTTCAAAGTGGGAAAACTGAGACTGGTGAGGTGAAGTAACTTCCAGAAGGCCAAAAGGCCACATGGCTAATTAGTTTTTTTTTTTTTTTGAGATAGAGTTTCACTTTTGTTCCCGAGGCTGGAGTGCAGTTGCGTCATCTTGGCACACTGCAACCTCCACCTCCCGGGTTCAGATGATTCTCCTGCCTCAACCTCCCGAGTAGCTGGGATTACAGGCATGAGCCACCACTGCTGGCTAATTTTTGTATTTTTAGCAGAGACAGGGTTTCGCCCTGTTGACCAGGCTGGTCTCAAACTCCTGACCTCAGGTGATCCACCTGCCTCGGCCTCCCAAAGTGCTGGGATTACAGGTGTAAGCCATTGCGCCCCGCCAGGAGTTTTTATTAGAATCCACAGCCAATCTTATTCATAACCACATTGCTCATTCTGAGAATTTCATTGTTATGTTAAAAAAAATCAGTGATAGTTTTCCTGCTCATCAATTTCAATTTGAAAAGTAGAGTTGCTGTGGTTTTGTTTTTGTTTTTTTTTTTTGGAGGGGCACGAATAGGTAAGTAACAAGTCTTAGAATAAAATATCAAGGATTTTGTTCGGGTTACTTGTCCTTTGCCATCTTAGCGCATAATAGAGAAGAGCCGATGATGTTTCTTTTCAAGAATTGTGGTGTATAATGACGCACAAGCATGGCAAAGGAAATACTGGTATTCTCGTTTTGTTTGCAAAAGGGAGAGGCTAATAAGAGAAATACTGGCAATCTCTTTCAACTTTTTTTTTTTTTTTTTTTGAGACAGAGTCTCGTTCTGTCGCCCAGGCTGGAGTGCAGTGGCACAATCTCGGCTCACTGCAAGCTCCGCCTCCCGGGTTCACGCCATTCTCCTGCCTCAGCCTCCTGAGTAGCTGGGACTACAGGCGCCCGCCACCACGCCCAGCTAATTTTTTGTATTTTTAGTAGAGGCGGGGTTTCACTGTGTTAGCCAGGATGGTCTCGATCTCCTGACCTCATGATCCGCCCGCCTCTGCCTCCCAAAGTGCTGGGATTACAGGCGTGAGCCACCGCGCCCGGCCGTCTAACAGTAGAAGGTTGCCCAGGCAGAGCTGTGGTAGCAGTTGTGAAGAACGAAGGAGTAGGAGCTTGTTGAGTGTTGATTTACAAGTAAGAGACCATTATTTAGCACAAAATATAAATTGTATGATTAGCTGAAGAGATTTGCCTGGGAAAACTGTTTATTGAGATGGTTAAGTCATAAAGGAGGAGTTTCATTTTTATTTGATTTGATTTTTGTAGAGACAGGGTCTTGCTGTGTTGCCCAGACTGGATCAAATTCCTGGGCTCAAGCAGTCTTCCTGCCTCAGCCTCTAAAGCCACCAAGGCCAGCTTTTTAAAACTTTATTTTATATATAAAAAAAGAGTTTAAAGGATTACAAAGGATGTTGAGGTTAACAGGACATCTGAACCCAGAAGACTAAAAGTCTTGTAAAGGTCATAGAGGTGGGTCCTTCAAATAGATGAATAATTGAGGGTTTATGAAATTAGTTCATTAAATTTGGACTGTAAGAAAAGGAATTTGAGGCCCGGTGCGGTGGCTCACGCCTGTAATCCCAGCACTTTGGGAGGCCAAGGCCGGTGGATCACCTGAGGTCGGGAGTTCGAGACCAGCCTGACCAACATGGAGAAACCCTGTTTCTACTAAAAATACAAAAATTAGCTGGGCATGGTGGCGCATGCCTGTAGTCCCAGCTACTCGGGAGGCTGAGGCAGGAGAATTGCTTGAATCTAGGAGGCAGAGGTTGTGGTGAGCCGAGATCACGTCATTGCACTCCAGCCTAGGCAACAAGAGTGAAACTCCGTCTCAAAGAAAAAAAAAAAAGAAAAGGAATTTGAAAAGTTGATTAAAATGAAATTTTAGTGAAGAAAACTCAGTCTTAAGGGAAATCTGAAATGAGAAAAACGTTTTTATTTGAAGACAGTGCAGTGTATTTTGGGTTGCAAGCATAAGTGATTGCTTGATGTTTATTCTTCTTTCCAGAGCTGAAAAATAATATTTTTGAGGAAAACAGCAACTATTAATGGAATGCTACATTTCTTTTTTTTATTTATTATTTACTGTTGATTAAAAAAAATTAATAGAGATGGGGTCTCGCCATGTTACCCAGGCTGGTTTCGAACTCCTAGGCTCAATCAGTACTCCTGCCTCAGCCTCCCAGAGTGCTGGGATTTATAGGTGGGAGCCACCACGCCTGGCCTAGAATGCTGTGTTTCACATACGACCCAGAAACAGAGCTTCCAAGGTTTAAAACATTAGAAAATGGAAAAACCATTATTCTGGAGACCCAAAAAGTACATCATATCAAAATTAGAACAAAGGACAGTGTTGATTTGTTTCTTTCGTATAATTAGCAATGCTTCTGTACAGACTTTTTTTAAGTTGAAATTTTTATTAAGATAATTGTAATTTCTCATGCAGTTGTAAAAGGTAATACAAAGGGATCTCTTGTATACTTTGCCCAGTTTCTTCCAATGGTAGCAGTTTTGGGAAATTTTTATAACATCACAACCAGAATATTGACATCTGGTGTAGTACACCAGCCTTATTAAAATTCCCCAGTTTTATTTTTATTCATTTGTGTGTATATGAAATTTGGTACAATTTTGTCATTCATAGGTTCATGTATCCACCACCATAGTCAATATACAACAGTTCCAAGGAACAAGGACCCTTCATGTTCTTTTGTAATTATAGCCTCCCGATATTTCTACACTCCAAACCTTGGTAACTATGAAACTGTCCTCCATTTCTAAAATTTTGTCATTTTACAAATGTTGTATAAATGGAATCATATAGAATGTAACCTTTTGGGATTGGCTCCCCCCCACCCCCCAACTCAGCATAATTCCCTGGAGATTAATCCAAGTTGTGTGTATCATTTGTTTTGTTTGTTTGTTTGTTTGTTTTTTTATTGAGACAGAGTCTTGTTCTGTCGCCTAGGCTGGAGTGCAGTGGCACAATCTCGGCTCACTGCAACCTCTGCCTCCCAGGTTCAAGTGATTCTCCTCGCCTCAGCCTCCTGAGTAGCTGGGATTACAGGCACCCACCACCATGCCCAGCTAATTTTTGTATTTTTAGTAGAGATGGGGTTTGACTACATTGGCCGGGCTGGTCTTGAACGCCTGACCTCAGGTGATCTGCCTTGCCTGCCTCGGCCTCCCAAAGTGTTGGGATTACAGGTGTGAGCCACCATGCCTGGCCTGTTTTTTTTTTTTTTTTTTGAGACAGAGTCTCACTTTGTTGCCCAGGCTGGAGTGCAGTCGCACAATCTTGGCTCACTGCAACCCCTGCCTCCTGTGTTCAAACGATTCTCCTGCCACAGCCTCCCAAGTAGCTGGGACTACAGGCATGCACCACCACACCCAGCTAATTTTTTTGTATTTTTAGTGGAGACGAGGTTTCACCATGTTGACCAGACTGGTCTTGAACTCCTGACCTCAGGTGATCTGCCGGCCTCGGCCTTGGCCTCCCAAAGTGTTGGGATTACAGGCGTGAGCCACCGTGCCGGGCCCATTAGTTTTTTTTTTTTTTTTTTTAAATTGTTGAGTAGTATACTTCATGGTATGTACCAGTTTGTTTAATCTTTACCCATTGACCGACATCTGGGCTGATTCTAGTTTTTAGCTAATATGAATAAAGCTGCTAGGAATATTTTGTGTACAGGTTGTGTGATCATAAATTTTTGTTTCTTTGGAATAAACACCCAAAACTGCAATTGTTGGGTCACATAGTAATTGCATGTTTCGTTTTATAAGAAACTGCCAGACTGTTTCCAGAATGGCTATACCATTTTACACCCCCATCCTCAGCAGTGTATGAGTGCACTTTCTCTGCATCCTCACCAGCATTTGATAATGTTATCATACTATTTTGTACTGTAGTCATTCTGATAAGTGTGTAGTGATAATCTCATTGTGGTTTTTAATTTGCATTTTCCTGATTGCCAAAGGTGTTGAAAAGTCCTTTTATGTGCTTATTTGCCATCTTTGGAAAAATGTCTGTTCATGTGGTTGCCAATTTTCTAATTGGATTGTTTTTTAACTGTTGAGTTTAGAGAATTCTTTGTACATTTAAAATTCTAGTCTTGACCAGGTGCAGTGGCTCACACCTGTAATCCCAGCACTTTGGGAGGCCTAGGTGGGTGAGTTGTTTGAGACTAGCTTGGGCAACATGGCGAAACCCTATCTCTACAAAAAAGAAAAAAATTAGCTGGATGTGGTGGTGTGCACCTGTAGTTTCAGCTATCTGAGAGACTGAGATGGGAGGATCAGCTGAGGCCAGGGAGGTTGAGGCTGCAGTGAGCTGTGATCACTCCAGCCTGGGCGACAGTGAGACTCTATCTCAATACAATAAAATAAAATTCTAGTCCTTTGTTGGATATGTGGTTTACAGATATTTTCTTCCAGTCTGTAGCTTGTCTTTTCATCCTCTTCACATGGGCTTTCACAGGGCAAACATTTGGAACTTTGATGCGGTCCAATTTATAAATCATGCTTTTGGACTTTCCTCTCTTTTTGTGGATCATGCTTTTGGTATTTAGGAACTCTGTCCATCATAGATCCCAAATATTTTCTTCTGTGTTTTCCTAAAAGTTTTATAGTTTTATATTTTACACCCTATTTTGAGTTATTTTTGTATATGGTGGGGGGTTTAGATGGAGGTCGACTTTTTTTTTTTTTTTTTGCTTGTGGAAGGGATGTCTGATTGCTCCCGTACCATTTATTTAATATGAAGGCCTTTTCCCCTCTCCTAATTTCATATAGTTAATCAGATGATGTAGGAGTTCTCAAGATTTCAGAGATTCTGTATGACCTGACAGGAATGAAAATGGACTTAGTGGTTGACTCTTGCCGTAATTTACACTGCGCTTTCTGAAAGTTTTTTTTCCCTCTTTTTTTTTTTTTTGAGATGGAGTTTAGCTCTTGTTGCCCAGGCTGGAGTGCAGTGGCACGATCTCTGCTCACTGCAACCTCCACCTTCTGGGTTCAAGTGATTCTCCTGCCTCAGCCTCCCAAGTAGGTGGGATTACAGGCACGCACCACCACGCCTGGCTAATTTTTATATTTTTAGTAGAGATGGGGTTTTACCATGTTGGCCAGGCTGGTCTCGAAATTCTGACCTCAGGTGATCCTCTTGCCTCAGTCTGGGATTACAGGCATAAGCCACTGTGCCTGGCCTAGATGAGAATTTTAACCTTTTATAATCTCATCCCGCTCTCTGTTTCAGTTCTTTGTTAAAATGGTATGCAGTGGTTACATTACTATGCCTGTATAAATATTCCATTTAGTTAAGTAGCCTACTATATTTCCTTTGTTCTGAAGTTAAAAATTCCTCTTTATTTGATTAATCTCCATCTTCCTATGTACTCCAGCAACCTCTCAAAATGAATTTCCACATAGCCAAACCACCAGATAATAATCTTTTGGTTTCTGTTGTTTTCCTGGACACCTCTCTGCTAGATACTTTCTCTGTCCTGCTTCAATAATGGACTGGTTATTAATTATGCCTGGTTGCACAATTAATGCCTTGGGAATTTCCTAAGGGTCTCTCCTGTATGCGATACCCTGTTTTTTTGCAATACCTTTCTTTGTTGGTTTACTGCCTTTGAGCATATCATCCTATCGTAGCTTTTTGCTAAAAGGGTACATGGTAAAGGAAATTTTTTGAGGCTTTCCATGTTTGACAAAGTCTGAATTCTTCCCTTTTCACTCAGTTGAGTGTTTGACAAGGCATAGAGTTCTAGGTTGAAAACAGTTTTCCCTTAGGACTTTGAAAACATTACTCCATTGTCTTCTAGTTGCTGACAGTTCTGATACCATTCTGATTCTTTATCCTTTATTTGTAGGATAATTATTTATTTATAGTAGCCTAGTTTATCTTTGGAAGATTTCTAATTTTTTAAGTTCTTAATAAAAAATTTCATAATTACGTACCTTGGTAGGTGGGTCTTTTTTATAAATCTGTTGTTCTGGGTACTGGGTGGGCCTTTCCAGGTCCTTCCAACTTTGTTAATTTGTTCTACTGCCTGGGAGATTCCTTTGACTTTATCTTTTTACCTTTATATTGAAGGTTTTCAGCTGTCATATTTTTAATTTCTGGTAGTTTTTTCTTGTCTATTCCTTAATTTTTTCTTTGGAGACAGGGTTTCACTCTGTCACCCAGGTTTGTGACAGCCTTACTGCAGCCTCAACCTCCTGGGCCCAAGCAATCCTCCCACTTCAGCCTCCTGAGTGGTTGGGACCACAGGTGCATACCACCACACGTGGCTAATTTTTTCTCTTTTTTTTCTATACATGGGTCTCATTTTGTCTCCTGGGCTCAAGTGATTGTCCCACTTCAGCCTCCCAAAGTGCTGAGATTACAGGTGTGAGTCCTTGTGCCTGTCCTTAAATTTTTTTGTTTGACTTTTCTTTTTAGAGACAGAGTCTTGCTCTGTCTCCCAGGCTAGAGTGCAGTGGCGTGATCAGGGCTCTCTGCAGCCTCAACCTCCCGGGCTCAAGAGATCTTCCTGGGTTCAAGTGATCTTCCCACCTCGGCCTCCTAAGTAGCTAGGACTACAGGCATGTGCCACTGCATCTGGTTAATTTTTAAATTTTTTGTAGAGACTGGGCCTCACTATGTTGTCCAGGCTGATCTTAACTCCTGGGCTCAATTGATCCTCCTACCTTGGCCTCCCAGAGTGCTGGGATTTTAAGTGTGAGCCACCATGCCTGGCATAAATTTGTTTTTTAAAATTCTTGTTTTTTGAATATACTATTTTCTCTTCTTGGAGGATAGCTTATTTGATGTTTTCTTCTATTTCTTACTTTCTCTTCCCTTCCTTCAAGTCCTCCCTTTTTGCCCCCCCCCCCCCCCCCCGTTTTATTGTAAATTTTTTTTGGAAGCCTTCCTCAAATGATTGTTGATTTCAGACTGCACATTCATAATTAAGAATGAGTCATTAAAGGCCAGGCGCAGTGGCTCACGCCTGTAATCCCCACACTTTGGGAGGCCAAGGTGGGTGGATCACGAACGAGGTCAAGAGATCGAGACCATCCTGACCAACATGGTGAAACACCGTTTCCACTAAAAATACAAAAAAAAAAAAGCCGGACGTGGTGGTGAGTGCCTGTAGTCCCAGCTACTCGGGAGGCTGAGGCAGGAGAATCACTTGAACCCAGGAGGCAGAGGTTGCAGTGAACCAAGATTGCGCCACTGCACTCTAGCCTGGGTGACAAAGCGAGACTCCGTCTCCAAAAAAAAAAAGAGTCATTAAGGCCAGGTGAGGTGGTTCACGCCTGTAATCCCAGCACTTTGGGAGGCTGAGGCAGGCGGATCAGGAGGTCAGGAGTTCCAAGACCAGCCTGACCAACATGGTGAAACCCCGTCTCTACTAAAAATACAAAAATTAGCTGGGCATGGTGGCACGCACCTGTAATCCCAGCTACTCAGGAGGCTGAGTCAGGAGAATCACTTGAACCCGGGAGGCGGAGGTTGCAGTGAGCTGAGATCCCGCCACTGCACTCCAGCCTGGGCAACAGAGCGAGACTCAGTCTCAAAAAAAAAAAAACAAAAAGTCATTAAAAAGATGTTTGCAGCAAGACGTGGTGACTTATGCCTGTAATCCTAGCACTTTGGGAGGCTGAGACAGGAGGATTGTTTGAGCCCAGGAGTTTGAGATCAGCCTAGGCAACATAGGGAGACCCCCGTCTCTACAAAAAATTTAAAAAAAGAAAAGTAACTGATCATGGTGGTTCACGCCTGTAGTCCCAGCTACTTGGGAGGCAGATGTAGGTAGACTGCTTGAGCCTGGGAGGTTGAGGCTGTAGAGACCCATGATCACGCCACTATTCTCCAGCCTGGGCAACAGAGTGAGACGCATTCTCAAAGAAAAGATGTTTTCAAGGTCTAAACATGGGCAGGGCTTTTCACTGGTGGGCTCTGCTACAAGATGATGGAACCGTGAGCCAATTTTTTTTTTTTTTTTTTTTTCACTGAGAGAGATTCCAAGCATTAATGTTTGTTGGTCTTGTTTCTGGAGCCATTCTGTTTCTCCAGAGAAAGACTCAGATCACCTGCCTCGAATCTGGGGAGGAGAATGTAAGCTTGACTGCCTGCTTTCTTGAATCTGAGCAGCTAAAGGAACTTGGGTGGGCAGGTGTGGGGTTAACTTTAGTTTCATTGTACACATTTGTATTTAATCTTATTTTTTCAAATCTCCTATCTGTAGTCTCATTCCCATACTCCATTTAGCCTGGTGTTGCTGAGTGTATCTGTTGCAGATTTTCTAGAGAATGAGCCTTTAGACACCTGCTTTGGTCTTGAGGGATGACAATATTGGTATATGAGATGGAAGCTATGTGTTGGGGTGTCCTTATATACACCCCTCACTTTCTGCCTTGGTGTCTGATATCTCTTACTGCTAAACCCTCCCAAATGAATTGACTTGTTCCTCTTTGATGTCTTCAGTGGGCCTTGAAGTTGTAAGCTTGTTTTCATCTACTGTGGTTACAGTTGCAATGTCTATTCATTGAAATGGAGGAAAAGTTTATATTTCTTGTTTTCTCTATGTTGGTGTGACTTTGGAGAGAAGGGGTTAGAAAGATCTCTCTGCTGTCTCAACTGGAGGTTGAGGTAATTTTTGACTTCAAATGATTTTTGACTCCACTTTTTTAAAACTTGTAACATTAGTAGAGTTGGGGTGAATGATATTTTGCTATTGTTTTTGTAAATATCCAGTCCTCCTTCAAAATAATGAGATTTTTGTTCTTTAGGATAGTGGAATGTAGTATTGAGTCCAAGTAGTTCCACCACTATCCAGATCAGTGACATTTAAAGGAGACAGCTTTAATTTAGATGTGTAATTTTTAGCTGATTTACTTGGGGGGAAATGGAGTATTTTTGCTTTTTGAACAAAGTAGAACTGTAGTCTTAAATTTCAATCTTATGCTCTTGATGGATACTATTTTATAGAATACTGAACAGCAAGTGATTCGGCAAATTCATAATCTATTAGAGGATTTCAGTGGGTCCTATATATCATAGCATTTGGCATTGAATAATAAGTTATCATTCTTGATTTTTTGCTGGTTTGAAACCTGGTAAATATTCGTGCTTACAAAGTGGGAGTATTGTTCATCTACCTCTTTATATATTCTTAGTGTTACATAAATGCTTTTGCTTTCCTTAAATTAGATATTAATGGACAAGTGTATATTTCTTTTTTTTTTATTTTTTGAGATGGAGTCTCACTCTTGTCACTCATGCTGGAGTGCAATGGCACAGTCTCGGCTCACTGCAACTTCTGCCTTCCGGGTTCAAGCGATTCTCCTGCCTCAGCCTCCTGAGTAGCTGGGATTACAGGCGTGTGCCACCACGCCCAGCTAATTTTTGTATTTTTAGTAGAGACAGGGTTTCATCATGTTGGCCAGGCTGGTCTAGATCCTCCTGCCTCAGCCTCCCAAAGTGCTGGGATTACAGGTGTGAGCCACCACACCCGGCTTCTTTTTCTTTCTTTTTTTTTTTTTTCCCTTCTGTTCTTTTTTTTTTTTTTTTCCTGTTTTTTTGAGCTGGAGTCTTGCTCTGTCGCCCAGGGTGGAGTGCAATGGCGTGATCTCGGCTCACTGCAACCTCTGCCTCCCAGGTTCAAGCAATTCTCCTTCCTCAGCCTCCCAAGTAGCTGGAATTACAGGCGCCCACCGCCACGCCCACCTAATTTTTTTTTTTGTATTTTTAGTAGAGACAGGGTTTCACCATGTTGACCAGGCTGGTCTCAAACTCCTGACCTCAGGTGATCTGCCCGTCTTGGCCTCCCAAAGTACTGGGATTACAGGCTTGAGCCACCGCGCCCGGCCTAATGTTTGTATTTTTAGTAGAGACGGGGTTTCACCATGTTGGCCAGGCTGGTCTGGAACTCCTGACCTCAGGTGATCCACCTGCCTTGGCCTCCCAACATGCTGGCATTATAGGCGTGAGCCACCACACGTGGCCGGATAGGGGTGTAATTCTAAAAAATCTAGTAGTTTCTTTTTGCATATTTTAATGTGGGGATATATATTCAGCATAGTTAATAGGCAAGAGTGCTATGGAAGGTAAATATAATATCAGAATAGTTGTTCAAACATTAACTCTCTAAGAGATTAAGCATTTTTAAAACTTTTTCGTTATTTTGAAAAATTTCTAACCTGCAGGAAAGTTAGAACACTCATTACGATGAATCCCCTTAGATCTTCCAGATTCACCAGTTGTCAGCATTTTGCTACATTTGTTTTTATATCTCTCAAGAGAGTTTATTTTGCTTGTGATGTAATGTCTGATTCAAGATAGATTAAATTAACCAAGTCTGATGGCACACGCCTGTAGTCCCAGCTACTTGGGAGGCTGAGGTGGGAGGGTTGCTTGAGCCCAGGAGGTGGAGGTTACAGTGAGCTGAGATCACGTCACTGCACTGCAGCCTGGGTGACAGAGTGAGACCCCACCTTAAAAAAAAAAAAGATTAAAGATCTGCATTTTGAGATGAGCATAGTCTTTTTTTTTTACAAACTAGAAAATTAAGTTATAATCCCCTGTGTTTGCCATTTATTGAAAAAAAAAATTGAGGCTTTTAATATGTTAGGCACCCTCTACTAAGCACTAGGGATGCAATGGTGTGTAGTATACAGTTGGTGGCTGCTCTTGTCTAGTTTCAGTTCTAGTGGAGGATTGTTAGAAGTGCACTAAAATCCAACTACTTTCTTATCATCTGAAGTTAGAATATGATTCTCAGTATCTTTGTTGCTCTTCTAAGACATTTTACATTGTGGGAAATACAGGCTTTATGCCTTTTAAGTCACTATTTTTGTTTTTTGAGACAGTAGCTGGGATTACAGGCATGCGACACCACACTTGGCTAATTTTTTTTTTTTTTTTTGGAGATACTCACTCTTTCTCCCAGGCTGGAGAGCAGTGGTGTGATCTTGGCTCACTGCAACCTCTGCCTCCCGGGTTCAAGTGATTCTCTGGCTTCAGCCTCCTGAGTAGCTGGGACTACAGGTGCACACCACTGCGCCCAGCTAATTTTTTGTATTTTTAGTAGAAACGGGGTTTCAACATGTTGTCCAGGCTGGTCTTGAACTCCTGACCTCAGGTGGTCTGCCTGCCTCAGCCTTCCAAAGTCCTGGAATTACAGGTGTGAGCCACCCTGCCCAGCCTAATTTTTGTGTTTGTAGTAGAGATGGGGTTTTGCAGTGTTGGCCAGGCTGGTCTCAAATTTCTGGCCTCAAGTGATCCACCTGCCTTGGCCTCCCAAATGCTGGGATTACAGGTGTGAGCCACCATGCGCCTGGTCTGTGTTTTTCTGTTTTGTTTTCTTACCTTACATAGTTATTGTTGATGTACCTCCAGAAAGATGTAGAACTTTTTTTTCTTTTTTTTTTGAGACAGGGTCTCACTCTGTCACCCAGGATGAGCGCAGTGGCACAATCACAGCTCACTGCAGCCTCAAACTTCCAGGCTCAAGCGATCCTTCCACCTCAGCCTCCCAAGTAGCTGGGATGACAGGCACACACCACCACACCTGGATTAGTTTTTTTTAGTAGAGATGAGATCTCTCTATGTTGTCTAGGCTAGTCTCGAACTCTTGAACTCAAGGGATCCTCCTGCCTCAGCCTCCCAAAGTGTTGGGATTACAGGCGTGAGCCACCGTGTCTGGCCTTTCTTTTTCTCTTTTTTCCTTTTTTTGAGATGGAGTCTTGCTCTGTCGCCAGGCTAGAGTGCAGTGGCGTGATCTCGGCTCACTGCAACCTGCGCCTCCCGGGTTCAGGCAATTCTCCTGCCTCAGCTTCCTCAGTAGCTGGAACTACAGGTGCGTGCCATCACACCCGGCTAATTTTTGTATTTTTAGTAGATAGTGGGTTTCACCTTGTTGGCCAGTATGGTCTCAATCTCCTGACCTCATGATCCACCCACCTTGGCCTCCCAAAGTGCTGGGATTACAGGTGTGAGTCACCGAGCCTGGCCCTTTGTTTTAAGATGTAGAATTTTAAACACTCAGTTTAGTAAGACTACATTTATCTAGAAATTAGTCTTTTATCAATCTCTGAGTACAATCCAGACTCAAAATAAACAAGATGTATTTTAATGTATTCCCTAAATTATTTATTTTTCTTGAGACAGATTCTAGGTCTGTCACCCTGGCTAGAGTGTAGTGGTGTGATCATAACTCACTGTAACCTTGAACTCTCGGGCTCAAGCAGTCTTACCCATTAGCCTCCTGAGTAGCTAGGACTACAGATGCATGCCACCACACCCAGCTAGATTTTTTTGTTTTTTGTAGAGGCAGAGTTTTGCAGTGTTGCCCAAGTTGGTCTCGAACTCCTGGCCTCAAGCGATCCTCTTGCCTCCTAAAGTGCTGGAATTACAGGTGTGAGCCACTGAGCCTGGCCCTAAAAACTGTGTGGTGCCTACTATGAAGGACTCTGATCTGACAATAAGCTTGTACTTTGCTATATAGAGGCGTCGTGAGTGGCAGCATTAGCTCTATGCCACGTATTTCTGGTACTGCCACTGGCTGGGCCAATTGGTGCCATTAACTTAGGGAATATGCAAGAAGGAGCAGATCTGAGAGGCATGATATTCCACCCTGTGACATGTGCTTGTAGGATATCTAAGTTAACGTGTCCAGTAGACATTTGTATGTTATGTCTGGGAGGTAAGGAGTAGAATCTAGTCTTGAGAAATAAAACTACTTGAAGTCATAGTGGCTTCAATGAGCATGGAGTGAGAAGACCTCCAAAAGCTAAGGAAGCTGGGCATGGTGGTGGGTGCCTGTAGTCCCAGCTACTGGGAGACTGGAGGCAGGAGGATTGCTTGAGCCCAGGAATTTGAGGTTGCATTGTGCACAGTTGCGCCTATGAATA
Source organism: Homo sapiens (assembly GCF_000001405.40). Lineage (NCBI taxonomy): Eukaryota > Metazoa > Chordata > Mammalia > Primates > Hominidae > Homo > Homo sapiens. The sequence continues at coordinate 26,057,396 of NC_000002.12, forward strand.
GCCATTGCATTCCAGCCTGGGCAACATAGACAGTCTCTAAAAAAAAAAAAAAATTAAAAAATAAAAACTATAAGGAATATTAACATTTAAGGTGTAGACAGGATAGGAATCCAGCCAAGAAATTAAGAAGCAGTGGCTAGAGTGGTTGGGGGGATGGTGTAGAGAAAAAGAACATGGATTAGTTAAAATTTGTTTTGTCCCTTATTTGACTAAAGGCAAGTTTCTTTCATTCATTCATTCATTCAGAGACGGGGTCTCACTCTTTCCCCAAGGCTGGAGTGCAGTGACGCGATCGCTGCTGACTGCAACCTTCATCTCCCGAGTTCAAGTGATTCTCTCACCTCTGCGTCCCCAGTAGCTGGGATTTACATGCAGGCGCAACCACACCCAGCTAATTTTTGTATTGTTAGTAGAGACGGGGTTTCACCATGTTGGCCAGTCTGGTCTCAAACTCCTGACCTCAAGGGATCCACCTGCCTTGGCCTCCCACAGTGCTGGGATTACAGGTGTGAGCCACCATGCCCGGCCTAAAGGCTAGTTTTAAAGTCTCTCTGAACTTCTCTTTTAGATAGGGGCTGATAACCCCTACTTTGAAAAAATTGATTGAATTAAATGGAAAGATGTGAACTGTAGTACAGAGCCTGGACCATAGTAGATACTCAGATATTTGTTAAGAAGACTAAAAATCTTGGAGGTATCCTTGATGCCTCCTTCACTGGTATCTCACATTAGCAGATTCTTTTGGATTAACCTCCAGAATTTCCCTGCTTCTCATTATCTCCGCTGCTACCAGCCTGGTCCATGACACCATCATGTTGCCTGGATTATTGTAAGTTCTTAGCTGGCCTCCTTGCTTTCTTTCTTGTCCTCTACAACCCCTTCTTGACAAGGGGGCACCTATAATGATTCATTTAAAGTTGAATTCATATATGTCACTCTTCTACTCCTCTGCTTAGAGCCTTTAGTGGCTTTCAATCTCAGAAAGAACATGTAAGGCTCCGTGTCCTTACATGATATCCTGATGCTTTTTTCTTTTCTTTTTTTTTAAATTGAGACAGGGTTTTGCTATGCTGCTCACTCTGGCCTGGAATTCCTGGGTGCAAGCAGTCCTCCCACCTCAGCCTCCTAAGTAGCTAGGATTACAGATGTATACCACCGTACTGTGCCCCGGCTAAATCTGATACCTCTTTGCTTAGAGCTTCAACTCCTAACTTAGATTGTTTTGTTTACCCTGCAGCAATTCATCTTTGCTCTCTTTTGAACTTGCCAAGCACACTCCTGCCTCAGGACCTGTGCGCTTGTTGTTCTCTGGCTGTAGCCACTCTGCCTAGGTACTTAACTTGTGTGGCATATTCTCTCATTTCTTCCAGGTTTCTGCTCAGATAGCATTTTGTCAGTGAAGTCTTCCCTTTCTATCCTATAATAAAATAGCAACAGCTCCCCTCTTCCAGTTCAGATCTACCATTCTGCTTACCTGACTTCTACACAGTAATTAATATGACTTCTGATTAAGTTTTACTTGTTTTGTTAATTGGCCATCTCCTTTAGAATCTGAACTGCTGAGGGCAGGGATGTCTGCTCACCTCTATATCTCCCTAGGACAATGCCTGTACATTCTCAAATATTTGAAAGACAAAAATGATTTAATATCTGTTTCTAGTGATCTCTAAATCATAGACCACATTTAACAGTTCTGTATCTTAAATACAGTTCCTTGTATATAGTAGGTGCTTTATAAAAGTTGATGTTGCAGTGTGAAGTATTACACTAATTGCTTTACCAGTTTGGAAATCTGTACTTGATCATTACAGTGGACTCTTTATTTAGGAGCCCCAACAAACTTAAAGTTGGAGATGCAGTATATTTTTGTTTTGCTAATGCATTCATTCATTCGAATGTTTGAATAGTCCAGTATGTGCTAGATATTGGGGATATGGCAGCAAAGTTCTTATGAAATTTTATTCTAGTGGGAGAGACAGATGTATCAAATAAACACAATGTACTAGAATATAACTTCTAACATTTAGTAGCATAAGCAAGCATACATTAGAATAACCCTTAGTTTAGGGATTTTGTTTTTTTAACCTAAATGCAAAATTTGAGAAGCACATGGTAAGTAAATATTTCAGAAATTTGTTGGGGTAAAAATTGTGAGTACTTTGGTATTAAAATTATAATTACTCAACAAATTAAAAATGGAATTACCATACGATGCAGCAATCCCACTTCCAAGTATATATCCCAAAGAACTGAAAGCAAGGTTTTGAGATCTTTGCATACCCATGTTATAACAGCACTATTCACAATAGCCAAGAGGTGGAGACAACTTAACTGTCCATCGGTGGTTATCAGGAGCTGGGGGAGGGAAGGGGTGAAGGAGAGTTGTTTAATGGGTATGGAGTTTCATTCTGCAAGATGAAAAAGTTCTGGAGATACGTTTCACAACACTGAAAATTGCTACTGAACTGTACACTTAAAAATTGTTAGTGGTAAGTTTTAATAGCTTTGATGTGTTTTAAATTATGTGGGTTTTTTTTACCACAATAAAAATATTAAAAGATTGTCATAACTAGGTTGGGATTGCATAGCATAGTTCAGGCCATACCATCATGGTCATGTTCTAAGAACACATAATAATAGCTAGAATTGGAGGTAGAGGCAGATTACTTATAATGCCAGTCTTTTAAAATCCTCCTTAATTGGCAAGAGTCTGAAGAAGCTTGTTTGGATTTAGAATTTGTGAATTCGTGTGAATGCCATGAATTCTCTAATATGGAGGGGGAAAGAGAAGGAAATTATTGAACAACTGCTGTGTGCCTGGCACTGTGTGAAGTGCTTTTATATCTATTACTCTTTCATTTTGTTCTCACAGTAGTTCTTTTTTGTTTTTTTGTTTGTTTGTTTGTTTGTTTTTTCAGACGGAGTCTCGCTCTGTTGCCCAGGCTGGAGTGCAGTGGCACGATCTCGGCTCACTGCAAGCTCTGCCTCCCAGGTTCACGCCATTCTCCTGCCTCAGCCTCCCGAGTAGCTGGGACTACAGGCGCTCACCACCACATCTGGCTAATTTTTTGTATTTTTAGTAGAGATGGGGTTTCACCGTGTTAGCCAGGTCTCGATCTCCTGACCTCGTGATCTGCCCGCCTCGGCCTCCCAAAGTGCTGGGATTATAGGCATGAGCCAACGTGCCCGGCCTGTTCTCACAGTAGTTCTCTGAGGAAAATTGTATATCCTTATTTTGCCAGTGAGAAAATTTTGGATTAGAAACATTAGGTAATTTATCAAAGAAGGTTATGTAGCTAATAGTAAGTGGTAGAACCAGAATTGCTAATCCAGGTCTGTCAGACTCCAGAAACCATGTTCTTTCTATCACATTATGCCAGAGAAGCTGGAAATAGATATTTTCTTTTAAAAAAGTAAAACTTACTAGTTACAAAAACACAACAATAAAAAATCTGCTGGCCCGACTTAAATGTCTTTCAAGATGGCTACAGAGCTTCCATTTTGCTACTTGAAAAAAACTTTGTTGAAAAATAGCTTCTAGATGAGTGATTTCTTCAGTTACATGTAATTTTGGGAGTGGTTATAGACAGACTAGATGTAGTTTCTTTATATAAAATAACTTGATTTGCTTCTTTAAAAATATAGGTTGAAAGAGCTGATACTCAGTTGAAAATTTTTTTTTCCATTTATCTCTGTCTTTTTTTTTTTTTTTTTTTTTTTTTGTTCGTTTGTTTTTTGAGACAGGGTCTGGCTCTGTCACCTGGGCTGGATTGCAGTGGTGCCATCTCAGCTCACTGCAACCTCTGCCTCCCGGGCTCAAGCTATCCTCCCACCTCAGTGCCCCCAAGTTGCTTGGACCACAGGTGCACACCACCAGGTCCGGCTAATTTTTTGTGATTTTTATAGAGACGGGATTTTGCCATGTTGCCCAGGCTGGTGTTGAACTCCTGAGCTCAATTGATTTGCCCACCTGTGCCTCCCAAAGTGCTGGGATTACATGTGTGAGCCACTGTGCCCAGCCCTGTTTTCCTTTGAGAGACAGGGTCTTGCCCTGTCACCCAGACTAGAGAACAGTGGCACAGTAATAGGCCACCACAGCCGTGTTGGCTGCCCATGTAGCTAATATTACAGGTGCATGCCACCATGCCTGACTAATTAAAAAAAATTTTTTTTTTGGTAGAGACAGGGTCTTGTTAGGTTTCCCAGGCTGGTCTCGAACTCCTACCTTCCATTAATCCTCCTGCCTTGGCCTCCCAAAGGGCGGTAATTATAGGTGTGAGTCATTGTCCCCAGTCTTATTTTTCTCGCTTAACAGTAATTTTAAGTAGTCATCTCTCTTCACTTCATATCTGCTCCCCACCCCACCCCCCCTTGTTTTTGAGACAGAATGTCACGCTGTCACTCACGCTGGAGTACAGTGCTACGATTTCGGGTCACTGCAGCCTTGACCTCCTGGGCTCAAGTGCTCCTCCTGCCTCAGCCTCCAATGTAGCTGGCTAATTTTTTTTTATACAGGCAGGGCCTCAGTTTGTTGCCCAGGCTAAACATCATATGCTTTTAAAGGAACCTGCTGAAACAGCAAAGTCTCTTACCATGAACAGTTGATGGTTCTAGGAGCTTGGGGAAAAGGGGTGGAGTTGGGGTTTCTGTATGTGATGTCTTTTTTGGTTCAGAATAAATTTTTTTTGTGTGTGGTAAGTTACTATAGTAAGGGTAATTTCCCATAATAGGCAATAATATATACATCTGTTTTTGTTGGAATTATATTTAAACTTAAATTTTAAAAAGTAGTGCCTGTTAGTTTAAAAACATAGTAATAGATTGTATAGCATAGAAAATATAAATACTATAATCCTTCATTGCAGCCCATCCTCTGCTCCATAGCCTTAGTGTAATTTTGGTGGCAATACTTTTTCCAGTGGATCTATGTATTATGATGCTTTTATTTGGAAGTGACAGCCCATCCCCTCCTCCCCAAACAAACACAACTACAAAAGTGCTGCTGGGCATGGTGGCTCATGCCTGTAATCCCAGCACTTTGGGAGACTGAGGCAGGCAGATCATTTGAGGCCAGGAGTTTGAGACCAGCATGGTCAACCTGGTGAGACCCCAACTCTACTAAAAATACAAAAATAAGCTGGACCTGGTGGCGCATACCTGTAATCTCAGCTACTCGGGAGGCTGAGGCACGAGAATTGCTTGAACCACGGAGGTGGGGGTTGCAGTGAGCCGAGATCATGCTACTCCACTCCAGCCTGGGCAATAGAGCGAGACTCTGTCTCAAAAATAAATAAATAAATAAATAAATAAAGGAAAGGAAAAAAACCCTTCAAACTGGCTTAAACAACAACAAAAAGTTTAAAGAACTTTAACCTTCTAAAGAATTGCCACTTCTAGGGTTAGTTTGTTGAGCAACCTCAAGAATCTAAGTTATCTTGGCCAGGTGTGGTGGCTCATGCCTGTAATTCCAGCACTTTGGGAGGTTGCGGCAGGTGGATCACCTGAGGTCAGGAGTTCGAGACCAGCCTGGCCAACGTGGTGAAACCCTGTCTCTATTAAAAATACAAAAATTAGCCAGGCATGGTGGCAGGCGCCTATAATCCCGGCTGCTCGGGAGGCTGAGGCAGGAGGATGGCTTGAATGCAGGAGGCAGGGGTTGCCGTGAGCCGACATCACACCATTGCACTCCACCTTGGGCGACAAGAGTGAAACTCCATCTCAAAAAAAAAAAAAAGAATCAGGAATCTAGTTATTTTTAAAATCTAATGGTCAATCTATTAGACTGTCCTCCTCAGGCTCGCTTTCTTGTGTAGATAGCCTTGGCAGTTTTAGACTCCAGTCATGTTGGACAGATCGTCTGGGAGAAGAGGGACCATCTGTTCCTTATGTCCCTTTTCCCTTTCAGCTTTTTATTTTGAAAAGTTTCATACCTACTGATACTCTGGAAAAATTGTGCAATTGAACATATACCCTTCATGTAGATTTTCTCATTATTACCATTTTATTACATTTGCTCACTCACATTCTTTATGTGATTTTTTTTTTGCTAGACCATTTGAAAATTTGAAAAGTAAGCTACAGATGTTTTGACACTTCATCTCTAAATACTTTAGCATGTACCTCTTCAAAACAAGAACATTGTCTTACATAAGCACAGTATCATTACATGCAAGAAGTTTAATATTAGTAAATAACATATACTTTATAATCTTTATTCAAGCTTCCTCAACTTTTTTGCATTTTGGCAAGTGGTGGTTCTGGTAAGATGTCTAGAGTTCAATTCAGGATCATGCATTGAATTTAATTGCCTTGTCTCTTTATATTCCTTAATCTAGAACAGATCCAGTCGTTACATTGACATTTTTCGATGAGTCTTAATAGAATGTTTCACAATTTGTTTTCTCACCATTTTTTTTGGAGAGACAAGAGTCTCACTCTGTCGCCCAGGCTGGAGTGCAGTGGCGTGACCTCAGCTCGCTGCAACCTCTGCCTCCCGGGTTCAAATGAGTCTCCTGCTTCAGCTGCCCAAGCAGCTGGGACTACAGGTGTGTGCCATTATGCCTAGCTAATTTTTGTAATTTTTAGTAGATAATGGGATTTCACTATGTGTTGGCCAGGTTGGTGTCGAACTCCTGACCACAGCTGATCTGCCCGCCTTGGTGGTAATGTCTTTCTCAATTCATCCAGTAGGAGCTGCTTAATGTCCTTTTGTTCTATTTTTGGAGATAATAAATTTGAGCTTTTTGGTAGGATATAGCCTGCCATATTTCTTCATTGAAAGTACTCTTCCCCTTTGTAATTAATAAATAATAATGAGGTCCAAATCCTGTGATAAAGCCAAGGATGTATAAGCACAGAAGCTTTTGCTTTGGTGATTGCAGACGTTTATTTTTGCTTTAATGAATACAACTGTTTTTGAAAATAGTTTTTGTAGAGTGTTTGTTTTTGTATTTTGAGGTGGGGTCTCATTCTGCCACCCAGGCTGGGATGCATTTCTGCTCATTGCAACCTCCACTTCTGGGCTCAAGCAATCCTCCCACCTCAGCCTCCTGAGTAGCTGGGACTACAGGGGTGTGCCACCACGCCTGGCTAATTTTTTGGGAAAAAAAAATTTTTTTTTTCATTTTTTGTAGAGATGGGGTGTACACCATGTTGCCCAGGGTGGTCTCAAACTCCTGAGCTCAAGTGAACTGCCTGCTTTGGCCTCCCAAAATGCTGGGGTTACAGTGCTGGGAGCCACTGTGCACAGCCTGAAAATAGTTTTTAAATAAGTAAAAATGAACAAATTATTCAACAGATGAACAAATATTTCAACAAATTATGTAATCATTTTAACACCCTCTTTCTCTTTCAAGAATGTTTCAGTTTGGGCTGGGTGTGGTGGCTCATGCCTGTAATCCCAGCACTTTGGGAGGCTGAAGTGGGAGGATCTCTTGAAGCCAGGAGTCGGAGACCAGTGTAGTCAACCTAGCAAGACTCCTGTCTCCACACATGTGCGCACACACTCACTGTCTTAGCTGGGTATGGTGGTGTGTACCTGTAATCCCAGCCACTCAGGAGGCTGAGGCAGGAGGATCTCTTCAGCCCAGGAGTTAGAGGCTGCAGTGAGCTCTGATCGCGCCACTGCAGGCTCTGTAGCCTGGGTGACAGAGCAAGACGCTGGCTCTTTAAAAGAGTGTTTCAGTTTGGATAATAAGTCACATGGTCATTCCAGCCATTAGGCATTCTCAGTTTTTCATTGTGCCCATAGTGAGTATTCAGTGTGTTTGTTGACTGACCAAACAGCAGTGCTTGTTAAAAACATGACTCTAAGAAGAAAGAAAAAAAGAAAAAGAAAAAAAAAACATGACCCAGGTAGAATCATTCTTTGTGCATTTTCATGTGCCTTTATTAGCTGTATCTCTAATGCCATGTTCCTTGTGTTTTTCTGGATTGTTTTCTCCAGTATGGCTATATATATTTAATATAATTTTTTACAGCCCTCTAAGTTGTATTTTATGGTTGATAAGTTGGAAATGGTCAACACTTTCATTTGGCACTTCCCTGTTTGCAAGCTTTTGTTTTCAACAACTACAGTTTGCCAAAGACTTCAAAACCTGAAGGTTTTTTTTTTGTGGCACTTCAGTTTATTGAATACTTTGATTGAATATTTCCAACTGATTAGAAAATATTTAATGATTTTAAAAAACATTCAACCAAAAATCAGAAGACTCATTTATAAAACTTGATACCATTGTAGGACACTTAAGTTGATTTATGAAGTAGTTCTTCAAAGGCTCAAACATTTCCAAAAATATCATTGACATGTAACAGAAATCACATGCTGTCATTTATATGTATTTAATATGTAAATTGTCATCTTGATCACAGATTTTATAGTTCAGTTACTATGTATATTTGTACATTTCCACATCTACAGCGTATCTTTCAGTTGGTAAAATATTATAGTCTTTTTGCATATAGTTATGAGTAATGTATACTCCATAATCATTTCAAGTATATTTTTTGTTTTATCCTTTTTTTGTTTTAGCTTAGTGGGAATATTGTTTTTACCATGACAGTCTACTTAACCAATATTTGTATTCTCATCATCACTAAAACAAAAATTTTATCTTCAGTGTTACATGTTTTTAAACAATTCACAACATACACAGTAATATGAGATGTTTTACTTTGAACAGAGTTAACTTTCAAAAGCTTTATTTTGATTCCATGAATTGGATGAAAGAAATCAAGCAGTTAATGTGATGATGGTTTTTCTATGGAAGAGGTCTCATGATAGTGATAAACTTGCATCAGTTGTCTCTGGGAATTTCTGCTAGTGAAGCCAACATGAACAATTACCGATTTTTTTTTCCAGTGGACAAGAAAACTTGGAATTGAAAAAAAAAGATTAATTTAGAAGAACAGTCATTGGATCTAATTACAAGTTATGTTTCATAGAATGTTTTGTAAAGGCATCTTTTACAGCTGCATGTATTGTCATTTTCAGACACAATTTTACAATAACTGCTTATTGCCTTTGAATTAAATGTTGATTGTATTAGTCTGTTCTCATGCTGCTATGAAGAAATACCAGAGACTGGGTAATTTATAAAGAAAAGAGGTTTGATTGACTCACAGTTCCTCATGGCTGGGGAGGCCTCAGGAAACTTACAGTCATGGTGGAAGGCAGGGCGGCAGGAGAGAGAATGAGAGGAGCGAAGCCCCTTACAAAACCATCAGATCTTGTGAGAACTCGCTATCATGAGAACAGCATGGAGGTAACCACCCCTGTGTTTCAATTACCTCCCACCGGGTCCTTCCCATGACACTTGGGGATTATGGGAACTACAGTTCAAGATGACATTTGGGTGGGGACACAGCAAAACCATGCCATCAATTTTTTTTTTTTTTTTTTTTTTTGATACGGAGTCTCACTCTGTCACCCAGGCTGAAGTGCGGTGGCACAATCTCGGCTCACTGCAGCCTCCACCTCCCAGGTTCAAGTGATTCTTCTGCCTCAGCCTCTTGAGTAGCTGGGACTACAGGCACATGCCACCACGCCAGGCTAATTTTTGTATTTTAGTAGAGATGGGGTTTATCCACATTGGCCAGGCTGGTCTCGAACTCCTGACCTCAAGTGATCCACCTGCCTCAGCCTCCCAAAGTGCTGGGATTATAGGTGTGAGCCACCATGCCGCTCTATTTTTTGTATTTTTTGTAGAGACGGGGTCTCCCTATGTTGCCCAAGCAGGTCTCAAACTCCTGGGCTCAAGTGATCCTCCTGCCGTGGCCTTCCAAAGTGCTAGGTTTACAAGTGTGGACCACCTCACCTAGCCAAATGTTGATGCTTCTTCAGATTTGCTGCTTGAAGTCATTGTTACCACTTTAAATATATACTTGAGTGCATTGCTATCTAAAGGGCTTATTTAAAAATACATAGATTAGTTGTAGATATACACTGTGTAACAATGAAAAGGTCATTGTAGCAAAAGGGGTTTATACTGTATCTGCATACTCTATGAAAGGACCACTCATACACATTTCCTATGTACATATTTTTTCCATGTTTCCTACTGATCTCACTGACAGTATTTTGATGGCTTCTTGTTGGCTGAGGAACTGGCCATGGCACAGATGATGGATGGGGGCAACAGCCTTGAATATTCTCCTTCCAGCAACTGTCAACACCTGAAGGAGGGAGTTAGCTGCCTGTTACCATACTTGATATTGACTTGGTGTCCTAAAAAGGAAAATGTCAATTGTTTCAAATTTGTAAAGGGTTAAGAAAAGAGGCAGACTACCACTAGTCATCTTGTTAGATTTAATCATGTGTTAAAATGTGATAGCTGTTTACAATGCACATCTCACATGACTACTGTGTAAGACCTTGTCAGAAGTTAGAAACACCAATTCAATGTCTGTGAAACCATCAATACTTATTTTGATGCAACTTTGTTAAAAATGTAAAGTCTAAGACAGTAGATTTGTACACGATGTTTGGAAACACCAATCATAAATGAAGACTTGAGGTCAAACAGACTTATGGTCACCATACTTGCAGCAGAATTTGCTGGGGGGTTGATATATGTTCATCAAGTAAACAGAAACATCAAACCAGAGTAGTTCTCTAGTTAGTAAAATGAGAATAAACAGGTTATTAATTAATCTATTTCAGAGGATGGTCAGGTGGCCTAGAGAATGCTGTCCTGGGGAAATGACATTTATACTGCTACATGAGATATGATTAGAAGTTAGGTAGAAGAACATCATTCCAGGCAGAGGAAGTGGGCACAAAAAGGTCCTTAGTAAAGGAGCTTTTTGAGTTCAAAGAACTGAAAGATGATGTGTGTTGCAAATGTGACTTGTGAGGCTAGCAGAAGCAATAGATGTTGAAGACGTGGGTTTGAGCCAGATTGTGCAGAGCCTGGTAGTCCATGCTAAGGATTCGAATTCCATGGAAGGTTTGAGCAGGGATGTGACATGGTTAGATTCAATTTTTAAAAGATGGTTGGCCCAGAAAATGTGGAAAATGGATTGGAGTTGGAATTTTCTAATTAAAGACTTATCAAAGATGTGTTTAAACTCTTACTGTATACTATTTAATCTTTAAGGATTATGAGCGATTATATGTGAAAATACCTGTCAGTGACTGTGACAGTGAGCCTTTAATTTTTTTTTTGAGGTGATCTTTTTAGTGCCAAATACATCAGACAATCCTGAGCCAAGAGACAGAGTTCTGATCATAGTTAATTTGGTTTGTGAGCTTGAGCAAGTCATTTAAACTCTGAGCCTCTTTCTTTATCTGTAAATTGGGCGTGTTTGAGAAATGTGTGCTTAACTTTAATTGTGTTAATCGCTTAACTCTGGTTAACATATGGGCTGAGTCTTGCTGAGTCATTTCCTCAGACGTTGTGGGCAAGGCTTAAAACCAGCTAAGCAAATTTAGTGATGACACATTTTACCTCTTCTGTAGAAGTCAGATGAAAGAGCTGTTTCAAAAATGTTTCACTTATTGTTTTCATGCAGATTATCTCTTCGTGGGGGAGAGAATACAGTACACATAGCTCAGGAACTACTGATGCACTGCCTTCCATTTTAGTGGCAGTTTGAATTTAAGAATTTCTAGTTTGTCTTAAGCTTTTCTGTAATCTCTCACATATATATTCTTAATTTCAACTGATAATTTCTTTCTTAATGTCTAATATAGCCTATTTGCCCTCTGAACAGCATTGAGATGCTTTGAAATTTTAATGCCCAAAAAGTTGGCTTTGGTAAGGTGGTTTTCATTTCTGCAGTAGAACCATGGTTGAGGCTAATGGTCCCATCAGCATTAGCAGGCCTTTGGCTAGTTGCACAGTAAACTGCATGTTTCCCACTAGTAAAAGAGATAACCCCAACAGTTTTAGGATTAATGCTGAGTTGTAGTGTTCTTTGGGATTTACAGATTTTTTTCTATAATTTAAACTTTTTGAGACATATCCTGAGGATAATAGAAGGGCATTTAAAAAAACTTCAACTGGCTGGGCTTGGTGGCTCACACCTGTAATCCCAGCACTGTGGGAGGATCACAAGGTCAGGAGTTTGAGACCAGCCTGGCCAATGTGGTGAAACCCTGTCTCTACTAAAAATACAAAAATTAGCTGGGCATGGTGGTGGGCGCCTGTAATCCCAGCAACTTGGGAGGCTGAGGCAGGAGAATCACTTGAACCCAGGAAGTGGAGGTTGCAGTGAGCCCAGATCGCACCACTGCACTCCAGTCTGGGCGGCAGAGCGAGACTCTGCCCCCCTACCCCCCAAAAAAAAAGAAAAAAGGAAAAACAACTACTCAGATACTTTTTTTTTTGAGATGGGGTCTCACTCTGTTGCCCCGGCTGGAGAGCAGTGGCATGATCTCATCTCACTGCAGCCTTCACCTCTCAGGTTTAAGTGATTCTTCTGCCTCAGCCTCCCAAGTAGCTGGGACTACAGGCACGTGCCACCATGCCCCACTAATTTTTGTGTTTTTAATAGAGATGAGGTTTCGCCATGGTTGGCCAGGCTGCTCTCGAGCTCCTGACCTCAAGTGATCTGCCCTCCCCGGCTTCCCAAAGTGCTGGGATTACAGGCGTGAGCCATCGCACCTGGCCTCCGATACTTTTGACAATAATCTTGGTTTGGGGGAGGTGTGTGTGTGTCAGTCTTAGATTTATATTCACTCTGCATTGTGTTATATTGAGCTATAATGGATGTGCAGCTACACGAATTCTTCTAGAGATCCTTGGACTTGAAATTATGCGTCCTTGGCTTTATCACAGGATGTGGCCTTCTTGGCCTCAGTTTTTCAGAGTAGAGAATTTGCTTTTGGCTTTTCTAGGACGTGTGCAGATGAGAACTTGCTACAGGCAGATATGCTTGAGAGCTCAAAAGGAAATGGTGGGAAAAGACTAGATTAAATCAAGTAGTTGTGTGATTTCAGTGAAGTAGTATTAAATCTGGTTTTATCTGTTTTTCACCTGTTTTAAAACATAGGTACATTTTCACAGTCACTTAAAGTGACTATCTTTTTGAACCTCAAGGATTTTTTTATTCTCGGAATTGAGTTTTGTTCGTTTCATCATACTTAAAATAGTTTAAGAAAAATTTTAGAGTACTGTTTTCCTTCTTGTGAACCTTGTACAATATTATGAAGAGGGCAAGCTATGTAGGTAACTATTATCATTTTACAGGTAAGGAAGCAGAGTTTAATGACCTGCCCTTGATAATATGACAAATATATCAGAGCCAAATCTTAAACATAGCGATGGAAAGCTTTGTAATTATAGAAACATTTGGATTTGTCTTTTGGTTCCACCTAAATTTTCTTACAGTTTAAAAAATGTCTTTTAAGATTATTGCAAGGAGCAAATGAATACATAATAGAAGCATCCCATTGTATGGCATGTAAATTCTCACCAAATGTAATTGTTTCTCAGTGGTTTTCAACATGTGGATCCCCACTGACCACCACCTAGGGAGTTTTTTTGACCAGAAGGTCAAAACTTTTCATAATAATTCTAAGACATTTGCCTTTTTCACTATGTTGATGCTTGTACTGATGGTACAGAAGCAATGGTATGTAAAATTGCTGACCTTAGCATGAATCAAGACAATGGAACCAAGCTGGACTAGTAGTCATTGTATTTACCACCATGTACTCACAAGAGAAAACTAAAATAATTTTCCTCAAGAATATCCTTGATGAAGTAGAATTAATTTTTGTTAAATCTTGACCTTTGAGCATATATCTTTTTGGTGTATGATGAAATGGGAGGTAAATATAAAGCACTTCTGCCTCGTTTTGAGACAGTGATGGTTGTCTCAAGCAAAGGCACTTGTGAAATTGTTTGGATTGGCCACCATTTTTATAGAACATCATTTATCCTTGAAAGAACAACTGGCAAACTATGGTTATTCAGACTTGAGTCCTTGGCAGATACTGTCTTGAATGAATGAAGTGACAGTATTTGTTGCCACTGATAAAATTTATGCTTTTAAGATTGGAATTTTGGCCAGGCGCGGTGGCCCACTCCTGTAATCCCAACACTTTGGGAGGCCAAGGCGGGTGGATCGCCTGAGGTCAGGAGTTCAAGACCAGCATGGCCAACATGGTGAAACCCCATCTCTACTAAAAATACAAAAATTAGCCAGACATGATGGTGGGCACCTGTAATCCCAGCTACTTGGGAGACTGAGGCAGGAGAATTGCTTGAACCTGGGAGGCAGAGGTTGCGGTGAGCCAAGATGGCACCACTGCAACTCCAGCCTGGGTGACAGAGTGAGACTTCATCTCAAAAAAAAAAAAAAGGAAGTTTGGAATTTTGAGCCAGTCAAGGTCACTCTTGCCTGTAATTCCAGCTACCCAAGAGGCTGAAGCGGGAGGATTGTTTGAGCCTGGGAGTTTGAGCCTGAAGTGAGCTGTGATTACACTACTGCACTACAGCCTGGGTGACAGAGCAAGACTCAGTCTCTTAAAAAAATAAATAAATAAAATATATTTGGAAAACTTGTGTCTGCTGCTGTGAGTGTGACAGCTTTTCTGTACATACTCTCTTGATGAGGTCCATGGTGATAATATTATTTTTTTCATATTGTATAATGAAATACGCCAACATTTGGAAGAACTGTGTTAATGAACTATTAATTTCCAAATGACCAATACATGCTGTTATAAAATTGCGCAGATAAAAAGACCTATTCAGAGTGCAAAGTAACTGATGGATTTTAATATAATAGAACATGGCTGGGTGCGGTGGCTCACGCCTGTAATCCCAGCACTTTGGGAGGCCGAGGCGGCTGGATCATGAGATCAAGAGATTGAGACCATCCTGGCCAACATGGTGAAACTGGTCTCTACTAAAAATACAAAAATTAGCTGGGCATGGTGGCACCCACCTGTATTCTCAGCTACTCGGGAGGCTGAGGCAGGAAAATCACTTGAACACGGGAGGTGGGGGTTGCAGTGAGCTGAGATCAAATTACTGCATTCCAGCCTGGCGACAGAGTGAGACTCCATCTAAAAAATACATATATAATAATAATAATAAAAATAATAATAGAACATGAAAACACCATTGACAGGGTTTCAGATTCTACCTTGCAACTAATGTTTAAGAAATTACTGCTTGTTCCTTGTGACTCATGCAAAAAAAGAAGAAAAAAAGAAATTACTTGCTGAGCTTTGTAGTGTTGAAGAATAATGTTTAGGATTATCTGAATAGGTTCTTAAAATACTCCTCCCTTTTCTAGCAACATATCTGTTTGTAGCTAGATTTTCTTCATATACTTCATATTCTTTGTATGCTTCATCAGCCAAAACAGCATATTACAATAAATTGGATGCAGAAGCAGGTATAATCCAAGTGTTATCTATTAAGCTAAACATTAAAGTTGCAGTTTTGTTTTGGAAAATATAGTAATTTTTAACAAAATGTCATTTATGTTAACATGGATTGGATTTATTTTAAATTGCATTAAATACTTAAATTGTTTTCTTAGTTTTAATTTGTAATATGGTAAATATGAATTTATAGAACCTACACAAAAGTTTGTTGAGATCCTCAGGAACTTGAGGAGTGTAAAGGAGTTTGCAGAACAAAAAATTTGAGAAGCATTGGTGTACTTCTTTCATTGCTTCTATGTAATAGATTTGATCCAAGTTTCAGTGATGAGATTTATCTCAAGCTTATCTCTTAAGCTTGAGAGAGTAAGAGATTTGGTGTGTATTGGTAGTTAGTGTCCCATCAGAAAAACAGGAACCACTTCAGGTTTGATTTGGGAATAGTGTTGTTGATTTTAAAAGTAGAGAAGGATTTAATGCAGGAATTGTTTCAAAAGTGATGGAAGGGCTAGAGGAACAAATGGGAGAAGGGGCTATTAACCAGAGATCAGCAAACTGCTGTTTTGTCTGGACTGGATCTCCCTAAACCTGTACTTGTTGCTGAGCTGCTAGAGGTATCCCTTTGCTGATTAAGCAAGAACTGTTCTCGTTGTTACTACTGGTAAAACTATTGGGCTATTGCCATTGTACTGGGCTTCCCACCATTGTGTTGCCTATGAGCTCAAGCCACAGCCACTGACTATGTTGTAGCTGTCACCAGGATCAGATGGATTTTCCTTTTGTCCTACTTTTTAGTTTTCTGCCAGTTCCTTTCATTGGCAGAACCTACCCAGAACTCAGCTTGCAAGGGAGTCTGGGAAATGTAGTTTGTAGGCTTTCAGAGCTTGGCAGCATAGATAAGAAAACAGAAGAGTAAATACAGTGCTAAGAGCATCAGATAGTTACAGTCAGCTATGAACACTGCATAAATAAGAAAGGACTCCACAGTTACCTTCCAATTCCTAGTCTGGTTGCCATATTACACTGTAGTAAAGGGAGGAAAAAGTACAGAAGGGAATGATTCGAGCTCAAGTGTTATGAAGAAAACTAAAAATGGATGTAGATAAGATTTGACTGAATAGAATCGGAGGGTTTCTAGGCAGTTAGTTGATCAATATAAATAAAGGGAGATTACAATGGGTACATTGATTACAGTTTAGAGGATGTTATATATTTTAGAGCAATGAGAAATCAGGTTGAATATGTAGACCAGGGGCAGTTTATGTGGAGTGCTGTGAAAAACTGGCAACGGAATTTGGACTTTGTCTAGTAGAAACGTCAGCAAGATTGACATGATGAAAGGCATCTTATATTAAGATCAGAATGATGAGAAAATGCAGGATGATACAGAAGAGGAGACAGTATCAGGAAGATTGCCTTGGAGGTCATTGGTAATCTGAGCCTGAGATGATGGTATGGTAGTGGAGAAAAGACCCTTACAAAGAGTATTTTGAATGAAACAGATTTGAGAACTTTCTAGATTATAAATGGTGGAATGAAGGCAAATTAGAGATGACTTAAAATATTTTAAACAGCTTATCTCTAATCAAATTGTATAGTTGGGATTGGAAGCAAGTGATTGTGGAATTGAGGGCCTAGAAACGGTGAGAAGTGTACTTTTAAAGTATTTTATTTTTTTAATTTTAATATTTTATTTTTTTGAGATGGAGATTCACTCTTGTCGCTCAGGCTGGAGTGCAGTGGCATGATCTTGGCTCACTGCAACCTCTGCCTTCTGCGTTCAAGCAGTTCTCCTGCCTCAGCCTCCCGAGTAGCTGGGATTACAGGCATCTGCCACCACGCCCAGCTAATTTTTGTATTTTTGGTAGAGATGGGGTTTTACCATGTTAGCCAGGCTAGTCTCAAACTCCTGACCTCAGGTGATCCACCCGCCTTGGTCTCCCAAAGTGCTGGGATTACAGGCGTGAGCCACTGCACCTGGCCTTTAAATGTTGAAAAAAGTGAGAAGGAGCATTCATAGTTAAGAGCATGGGATCTGGAGTCGAACTCATGTCACTTATTAACCTCGTGTGCCTGAATAAGTTACTTAACTTCCTTCTGCCTTCGTTTTTCTCATCTATAACACTCCTTAAGAGCTGTTATGAGGATCGAACGAGTAAATGCTTGTAAAATGCTTGGAACGGGTCTGGCATATAGTAAGCACTATAAATGTTAATAAAAACAGTAATAAAAGCCAAGGACTTTTGGGAGGGACAGAAACTTGGGAAAGGTCGAAGTTCTTCTCTCACATTTCTTGGGAGTAGAAAATAAGATTAATTGGTAGCTCTTGGAGAGACTGGACTGGTTCTAAATTTTGGAGCAGCTAGATGGAGTATTATCAGAGTACAGGCTTCCTGGAGAGCAAAATACAAAAGATGCCAAGGTGAGATAAGTTGAAGGTAAAATATAGGTAAGGAATTAAAGAACATTGTGTTCAATTTTTCCTAGTACCTTTCTGTCTCTTTTTTTCCCAGTCATACTTTCTTAGCAAATCATTGTACCCTAAATTCTTTAGTACCAAAAGTAGAGCTATTCTTTCTTTCTCCAACAGGGAGAACAGTCCTTATCTCTTCCATTAAGTCATGTATTGCCCGATACTGTTTGAAGATACTTCCCACCCACCTCCTCCCTCTTTGTTGGAATGAACTGTTTTTGTGCTTTGACTGGAGGGGTCTTGAATGGATAAGCACAGGTTTAACTTGTTTAAGCAGATGTTTTGTCTCTCTGATTAAAAAAAGCTCAAGAACAGTTTGCTTGAAAGGTTTTACAAAATTTTTTAAAAGGAAAACATAAAACCTGAACTGAAAGCTAGAAGGGGAGAAGGACGGAGGTAAACAAATCAGCAGGAATTTAAAGTGGTTATGTTTCTTCTAATACAGAATAATCATGACCAAGGGACAAGTTGTCATGACATTATGTGGGAAGTAAGCATTATGCACTAATAAATTTGAAACAGTTAATCAACAAGTCTTGAATTCTGAGGATTTGGTGGCCTTTAAGGATAATATCTGAATTCATTTTTCAGTGATGTAGAAAAATATGAAAACTTACAAATGTCCTTAAAAGGTGGAGGGTTAGGGGGTGGAAGACAAGCAGGGGGTTAGGAGATAAGTAAGCAGGTTCTGAGAAAATTGAGAATAGAGTTGCTGACCTGAGAGTCATGGTGTTTGGGATACAGTTTGGGCTGGATCAGGGAGGTGTATCAATAAGGGCAGGCCAAAAAGAAGGCAGACATTTGGCTCACTAGTGGCAAAGGGATGGATTGGGAGAAGGCTGAAATTGAGTAGCTAGAGTAGTATCCAGAAGCAAGAGAATTTAATAGCTTAATTGAGGGCTGTTTATGTACCCAGGCCCTGTCCTAGGCTTCCTACACATGATCTCATTTAATCCCCATAACATATTGGAGATAGAAATGATAATACCCACTGTAGGTGGGGAAAACAGAGACCTGGAGAAGTTAAAATTTCACCTGATGCCACAAAGCTAGAATGTGGCAGAGCCAGAGACCATGTTTTTCTGAATTCTCTTAATTACTACCTTCTGTACTGCTTTTCTTAATTCTGAAAGTGAATCTACTGTTGACATTAAACTTGTATTTGCTTATTGGTGTGTAGTTTGTAACCTGACACCATCACAATTTTTTGGGAGTAGCTTTGTAGGAATCCAGGTAGTTATTTGAGGCAGGATTACTCTCAATGATCTCCTCCTGATAAGGACATAAGATACTGCCATGTTCTGGAGAACACCTTATTTTGGAAGGTGCCCCCAAAGTATTAGATAGTGGAGGTGACAGCAAAAGCGGCAAAATGGGGTTTCATCGCAGAATCTACTTACTCAGTTCTTTTACACAAAAAAGTTTCTCCTATATTTAGAAAAGTGTCAAAAGAGGCCAGGCACGGTGGCTCACGCCTGTAATCCCAGCACTTTGGAAGGTAGAGGCGGGCAGATCACCTGAGGTCAGGAGTTCAAGACCAGCCTGGCCAACATGGTGAAACCCCATCTCTACTAAAAATACAAAAATTAGCTGGGCGTGGTGGCAGGCGCCTGTAATCCCAGCTACTCGGGAGGCTGAGGCAGGAGAAACACTTGAACCCGGGAGGCGGAAGTTGCAGTGAGCCGAGATCACACCATTGCACTCCAGCCTGGGGGACAAGAGCGAGGAAAAAAAAAGAGAAAAAAAAAAAAACAGAAAAGTGTCAAAATAGCACTATAAAGAGAGCTCAGAAATAAAAGAAATGAAGGAATTCATTAGGAACTCAAGGAATTAATTACACATGCCAAATTTAAAACCACCTCTGGATATACATCTTAGGACTTTTGTGAAATCTGCATTAATTTCTACTACACTAATTTTGAATTCGAAATAATTCAGACATGATTGTGTTTTACTTTTTCAAAGCATTTGATTTTTTAAAAAATCGTGTGAAATGTAAATTGTTTATTTTTTTGTTAAAAGTACATGTGTATTACAAATATAGATATTAAAGGAAATTTTAAATTGTCAAATGAGAAAATTTCTTATTCTGGTGGAGTGTGAAAGTCAACACATCTTTTGTGCATAGAGAAACACATTAATTTCCTGCTTTTGTGGTGTTGCTTCTCTTGCTTTTGTATTATTGTCCATTAGCTGGTACTGTGGAATTCATCAGATTTCTGAGAATCTTAATGACCTTATGAATCTTTCTAAAATAATGCGTAACAAACAAGACTTTCTTTATTCTGACTTACATCTATTGATTCAACAGTTTTTAGGCATTAAGAATTTATGATACATTACTGTGTAATGTCAGCTTCTTTTGTTTACTTGGATGACTTTTTTATTAGAATGACTTTTGTTTTAATTTGTAATACAATTTTAATGCCGTATAATGTGCAGGAACTTCAGAATAGAATTGCTACCCTGCTTAAAGTCTGTAGATGGGAGGCTGGGCACAGTGGCTCAGGCCTGTAATCCCAGCACTTTGGGAGGCTGAGGTGGGCGGATCACGAGGTCAGGAGACAGAGACTATTCTGGCTAACACAGTGAAACTCCGTCTCTGTTAAAAATACAAAAAATTAGTTGGATGTTGTGGCACTCACCTGTAATCCCAGGTACTCAGGAGACTGAGGCAGGAGAGTCACTTGGTCCCGGGAGGCGGGGTTTGCAGCGAGCCAAGATCGCGCCACTGCACTCCAGCCTGGGCGACAGAACGAGACTCCGTCTAAAAAAAAATAAATAAAAAAGGTAAAGGTCTGTAGATGAGATATACAAAAATCAGCTGTACACTAGCAGTGAATCATCCAAAAATTAAAGTAAGACAATTCCATTTACAGTAGCATCAAAAAGAATACCTAGGAATAGATTTAACACAAGAAGTATAAGACTTAATGAAAACTAGAAAGCATTGTTGAAGGAAATTTTAAAAGATCTAAGTAAATGGAAGGGCATCCAATGTCTGTAGACCAGAAGACTTAATATTGTTAAGATGGCCATGCTACCCAAATTGCTCTATAGAGTCAATGCAATTCCTATCAAAATTTTGATTACAGAAATTGACATATGGCTCCTAAAATTCATATGGAAATACAGAGGACCCTGTATAATGAAAACAGTCTTGAAAAAGAAAAAGTTGGAAGCCTCAAATTTCCTGATTTCAGTGCTTAAAAGAAAGCTGTGGTAATAAGACAGTGTGGTGCTAGCCTG
Source organism: Homo sapiens (assembly GCF_000001405.40). Classification (NCBI taxonomy): domain Eukaryota; kingdom Metazoa; phylum Chordata; class Mammalia; order Primates; family Hominidae; genus Homo; species Homo sapiens. The sequence goes on from NC_000002.12 coordinate 26,078,458, forward strand.
AGAACAGATGTACAGATCAGTGGAATAGAATTGAGAATCCAGAAATAAAACTTTAGATTTCTGGTCAGCTGATTTTTGACAGGTATTTACTGCTCAGTAGGCAGGACTAGGGTGATTTCTGAGGTGATACATGTAATTGGAGTCTAGGAAAAGAGGGGAGGGGTTGCGGAAAAAGTATGAAGAAATAATGGCCAGCTAGAGTTTCCACATATGATGAAGGCTATAGACCTGATGAACCTAGGTAGGGTAGATACGAAGAAAATCACATTGAGGCACATCCTAGTCAAGTTACTAAAAGCCAGAGTAAAAAAAGAACATATTATATAGAGGAGCAAAGATAGGAGCTGTTGACTTTTTTCTCAGAAACACTGCAAGCCAAACAAATGAACAGCATAATCACACTGAGGAAGAATAAAAGAATAAAAGAAACTTTGGAAAATATTTTGACTTGGCCAGGTGTGGTGGCTTACACCTGTAATCTCAGCACTTTGGGAGGCCAAGGTGGGCAGATCCTGAGGTCAGGAATTCAAGACCATTCTGGTGACATGATAAAACCCTGCCTCTACTACAAATACAAAAATTAGCTGAGTATGGTGGTGCCCACCTGTAGTCCCAGCTACTCTGGAGGCTGAGGCATGAGAATTGCTTGAACCTAGGAGGCGGAGGTTGTGGCGAGCTGAGATTGTGCCATTACACTCCAGGCTGGGCAACAGAGCAAGACTCCATCTCAAAAAATTTTTTTGTGAACTACATACTGTAAGGCTAAAGATAAAAAGAACCACATACATGTATTTTATTCTAGTTAGCAAATCTGGTTCCTCACGGAGTGGGGGTAGGAGCTAGCAAGTTTGAAACACACACACACAAACACACACACACACACACACACACACACACTATATACACATACTAGGATTAAACATTTAAGTAAAAATTTGTAGATAATGACAGCTGGGTTTCTCGTTGTTGAAGAAAGAAGTTGAAAGGAAGAAGGCTAGAATGAACTGTGGTATTGGATTGGAATTGGAGGTATCAGTATGAACTCATGGTTCAATATAGATACGTAAATGTAAATATTTCCTCTCTCTGCTGGGAAGTCATAGAAGAAATGATGCTGAGGTAGCAGTAAAGACACTTAATGCCCAGATCTTGGACTATAAATACAATTCTTTCCTCCATCCCTCCTCCCTTTTCTCCCTCCCTTTTCTCTTCTTTCTTTTCCTTTTTTGACAGAGTCTCACTCTGTCACCCAGGCTGGAGTGCAGTGGTGGGATCACAACTCACTGAAGCCTCAACTTCATGGGCTCAAGTGATCCTCTTGCCTTAGCCTCCCTAGTAGCTGGGACTACAGGCATGTGCCACCATGCCTGGCTAAATTTTGCATTTTTTGTAGAGACGAGGTCTCATTATGTTGCCCAGGCTGAACTCCTGGGCTCAAGCCATCCACCTGCCTCAGCCTCCCAAAGTGCTGGGATTATAGATGTGAGCCACTGCTCCCGGCTTAAATACAATTTCTTAATAAAAGGAACTAGGGCCCCTGAAGAACTTGTTTATTTCAGAGCTGGGGTAGGAGAAATACAGAATGATCCTGGAACATCTTGTGATTCTAGAAAACAAAGAAGTGCTCAGAAAAGGATGGGACATGTTAGAAGTACACAGGAGCTGGCTTGAAGGAGCTGTTAATGGCCAGAGCTGGAATGAAATAATGGTAGTATTGAATTAAAACCAATAGAATAAAATATCTTTGAGTCCATAGTAGCAAAAATAAATAATTGAATAAACAAATGAATGGGGTGGAAGAAACAACTTGCAAAAGCAGAATTTCAATTAAGAACTGTAAAAAGAATGAGAGAAACACCGAATCACTGTTAGGCAAATACTACACTAAAAATTGTTGCGGCAGGAGCCAGGAATGGAATGTAAAATCAGTGGGCAAAAATATGATGAGAAACATGATAATTATTTAGTCTGAAAGGATCTTCTCCAATAATTTTTTTTTGTCGTGATACATTCCTGACTTCTCCACCCCCAAATGCAAACAAACCTAAATTGAGGGAAATTCTATGCAATACCTAACCATTATTCATCAAATGTACACAGGAGTACAGTGACACAATCATGGTTCACTGTAACCTTGAACTCTTGGGCTCAAGTGATCCTCCTGCTCATCCTAAATAGTTGGAACTACAGTCACACACTACCACACCTGGCTAGTGTTTTGTTTTGTTTTGTGTTTTGTTTGTAGAGATGGGATCTTGCTATATGTTGTTGCCCAGGCTGGTCTCTTAACTCCTGGCCTCCCAAAGCAATGGCATTACAGGCGCTTGACTCCCAAGAAATTTATTAATTACCAAGTGGAAGACAGTAAATTTGCAATAGAGAGAAACTCTGTAGATACCACCTTAACCAAGTATTTGAAGTGTATTCAGGGTTAATAGCACTAGTAATAAGACCTGTTGATATGGTCTGGCTGTTGATATGGTTTGGCTGTGTCCCCACCCAAATCTCATCTTGAATTGTAATTCCCACAGTCCCACATGTTGTGGGAGGAACCTGGTGGGAGGTAATTGAATCATGGGGACGGGTCTTTCCTGTGATAGTGAATAAGTCTCATGAGATCTGACGGTTTTAAAAATGGAAGTTTCCCTGCACAAGCTCTCTCTTTGCCTGTTGCCATCCATGTAAGATGTGACTTGCTCTTCCTTGCCTTCTGCCTTGATTGTGAGGCCTCCCCAGCCATGTGAAATGTAAGTCCATTAAACCTCTTTCAATAGTAAATTACCCAGCCTTGGGTATGTCTTTCTCAGCAGCGTGAAAATGGAGTAATAGATCTGTTCATAGTTTGTACTCCCTGATATGATCAACTGAGAAAGGTAAAACTTCATATCTGTGATGTTCTGTGACATTCCTGACTCCTCCACCCCAAAATGCAAACAAACCTAAATTGAGGGAAATTCTATGGAATACCTGACTGTTAAATGTATGAAGGTCATGAAAGAAAGGGAAAGACTGAGGGACTGTCTTAAGTTGGAGGAGACTAAGGAGACATACAGCTAAATGCAATGTGGGAACCTGAATTGGATCCTGAAACATAAAAAAAGTTAAATCTGGCGAATTAGGTTTGTAGTTTAGTTAATTGCACCAATGTTATTTTCCTGTTTCTGATTGACGTACTTGGGTTATATAAGTTATTAACATCAGGAGAAGTTGGATAAAGAGGTATTTGTGAACTGCGTACTATTTTTTCAACTTCTCTGGAAAGTTATTTCGAAATAAAAAGTTTCTTAAATTTACTTTCAAAAAAGGAATTTAAAAAAGGAAACAATGTAAGCCGCAAGACAATGGAGTAATATTTAAGTTCAGAAAGGAAAAGCTATCAATTTAGAATTCATTCCTGACAAAAATATCATTAATAAAGGCAAAATACATTTTTCAGACAGACAAAAGCTGAGAGAATTTTTTACCTGTGCTTTTAAGGAATGTTAAAGGAAGTGTTTTAGCCTGAAAAAAATTATTCCGGATGGAAATCGAAACTTACACAAAAGGAATGAAGATGACAGGAAATGGTAAAAATGTGTGGAAATAGAAAATATTTCTTCTCAATTTTTAATTTATTTAAAAGATAATTGTTTACAGTAAAATATTTTAATGTTTTATAGGATTTATAGCACTTAGCAGTAAAATGTAGAAGTGTAACAAAGAAATTTTAAAAAACAATAATAGCCCAATGATGGGAAGGGGAAAAAATGGAAGTATAATTCTGTAAGGTTCTTATATTATGTTAAAAGTGGTATAATACCATTTGGAGGTAGATGGTTCTAGTTACGATGTTTATTATGAGCCTTAGAGAAACTACTAAAAAATATACTGGGCACATCTAATCAGCGACCAAATCTTAAAGTTGGAGTGCTATATTAATATTAGACAAGGTAGATTTTAGAGCAAGGAGTATATTTCTAGAAATAAAGAGGATCTTTTTATAATGATAAAGGGGTCAGTTTGTCATATATACCTAATAACAGAATATCAAAATACTTGAGGCAAAAACTGACAGAATTGGAAGGAGAAATAATCTATAATTGTATAGTTGGATATTTTAACAGTCCTCTCTTAGTAATTGATAGAATAAGTAGACATATATTTAAGAAATGAGATCTTAATTTAAAACCTTTCTGAAAGAAACCTCAGGCCCAAATGGCTTCACTGGTGATTTATATCAAATGTTTAAAGAAGAAACAATATGAATCTTAAACTCTTCCAATAAATGCAAGAGGGTATGCTTTCCAAGTTGTTTTATGGGATCAGCCTTGTCTTGGATACTAAAACTAAAGATATGACCTATCCCTAATGAACATAGAGATTTTTTTCAAGAACATAATAATTATTAACTAAATAATTGCAAACCAAATCCAGGAATTTATGAAAAGAATAATACATCATGACTCAAATGGACTTTATTCCAGGAATGCAAGGTTGGTTTCACATTTAAAATCAAAGTAATTAGCTGCCTTAATGGAGTAAAGAAGAAAAATCATACCATCATAGTAGGCATAGACAAAGCATTTGATGAAATACACCTCATGATAACTCAGGAATCTAGGAACAGGAACATTTGTTTAATGTGCTAAATTTTGTACAGTTAACACACTTTAATGGCAGAGCATTTAGTCTAGAGCTTCCTAAGGTCAAATAAAGAACAACAGTATATTAGAGGTTGTAGATAATAAAATAAAGCAAGAGAAATAAGTCAGAAGATGTAAACGTGCCTTTATTTAGACTGTGTTGTTATATACATAGAAAATCCTAAATAACCTACCTTCTCCACAAAAAAAGAGCAACTAGAATTAATAAGTGAATGTAACAGGTTGCAGGATACAAGGTCAGTGTACCAAAACCAATTGTATTATTTTTCTTTTTTCTCTTTTCTCTCTTCTCTCCCCTCCCCTCCCTTCCCCCTCAGCTTTCCCCTCTTCCCTCCCCTCCCCCAAAACCTTCCCCTCCTTTCTCCTTTCCTTCCCTGTACTTTCCTTTTGTCTCACTCTGTCACCCAGGCTGGAGTGCAGTGGCACCATATCAGCTCACTGCAACCTCCGCCTCCCAGGTTCTAGCAATTCTTATGCCACAGCCTCTGCAGTAGCCGGGATTACAAGTGTGTGCCACCACACCCGGTTAATTTTTTGTATGCTAGTAGCTGGGATTACAGGTGTGTGCCACCACACTGGGCTAATTTTTTGTATCTTTAGTAGAGACTGGGTTTTGCTGTGTTGGCCAGGCTGGTCTCGAACTCCTGGCCTCAAGTGATCTGCCCACGCCGGCCCCACAAAGTGCTGGGATTACAGGCGTGAGCAGCTGCACCTGCTTAATCAATTGGAGTTCTGTGTTTAGCAGCAAACAATGAGAAAATGAAATGTAAAAATATATTATTTACAATAGCATCCAACAAATGAAAATGAAATGGGGATAAATTTTAAAAATATATGCAAGGCTTAGACATGGAAAACTACAAAATATCGCTGAGAGAACTAAAGACAGCCCAAATAAAGAGAGCTATACCGTATTCATGGATTAGAAGGCTCACATCACTCTGCTCAAAATGCTCCCTGTGTTTCTTGAACATGCCAAACATATTTGCATGTCAAATCCATTGTACTTGTTATTTTCTCTGCCTGGAACACTCTCCCCAAATAGTCACATGGCCTGTTCCCTTACCTTAAGGTCTTTGCTCAAATATCTCTCAGTGCGTCATTCCTTGACCACCTCATATAAGATAGCTCTTCCTCCTGTTCTTGTTCATAGGATTTATTATTACTAACATCAGAGATTTGAAATTGGGGGGAATGGGTAATACCCTTTCATAAGTTCCCCCAACAGAAGGACTTTGCCTTATTCATTGCCAAGTGTGTAGTAAGTGTGGTTTACCCTACTGAAACTCATGTTACTATAATGTGAATTAGCTTATAGCCAATTGTTAAAAAGTGAATGATATCGCAATAATGAGGAAATCATGTTGGGTCATATGTGCTTTTCCCTAGTGTATTATGTTTTGGTACATGGTACACCATGTTTTGGTACATGGTACGTGTTTTTGGTACATGGTATACCAAGTACATTATTATTACAGTTGATTGCAGCAGTATGTCCCAGAGGAATACAAAAGTGTGCACATGGAATTCATCCCTCAGCCTTGCCATTGGTACAGTTTGGCCAAGGGAAGTTTATAAGGTTCTATGTAATTTTTGTACATTTTACCCCTTCAGTTTCAGTCGTTATATCCCTTTTCATCGAGTTACCTTCATCTTTTTTAAGGGTAAAATTCGATACTTATGGTTGCTTCTTTATTAAGAATTCATGTATTTTTAATAGTGCTAGTATTTTTAGTTTTCTGGACAAAGTTGCTTATGAGTAACTACCTCAAACCTAACTTTTCTTATAAGCCTGATTATTTTTAATTTGTGATTTTGCAGAACTAAAGGGTTATTTAGGAATGTGTATATTGCATTGTACTAGAAATGCTTGTATTATCCCCAGTTACAACTAGTCTCTTAGTTGTAGTTGGCAAAAGTTCAATTTAGCTTTGATTCTGTCACCCAGAATTTTTCAGTATCAAGGAACTTCTTCCATCTCAACCCATTTCAGAAATCAAAATGAGTGGAGCTACAGCATGTGGCAAAAGGAATAATGGATAAAATAATTGGACTTCATCAAAATGAACTCTTGTGCATCAAAGGGCATATTAAAGTGAAACAACAGGCCGGGGGCAGTGACTCACGCCTGTAATCCCAGCACTTTGGGAGGCAGAGGCGGGTGGATCACTTGAGGGCAGGAGTTTGAGACCAGCCTGACCAACATGGTAAAACCTCATCTCTACTAAAAATAAAAAAAATTAGCTGGGTGTGGTGACGCGCGCCTGGTATTCTGGCTACTTGGGAGGTTGAGGCAGGAGAATCGCTTGATCTGGGAGGCAGAGGTTGTGATGAGCTGAGATTGCGCCACTGCACTCCAGCCTGGGTGGCAGAGCAAGACTGTGTCTCAAAAAAAAAAAAAAAAAAGTTATGCAAAAAGACAGCACTTTCAGGTCACCAGCTTGACCTTCTTCCAAGTGTATTTTCCTTCGCTTTGTTCCTGCTCTAAAGCTTTTTAATAAACTTTCACTCCAGCTCTAAAAAAAGAAAAGAAGTAAAAAGACGGTACAGAATGGAAGAAAACATTTGCAAGTCATGTATCTGATCAAGATTAAGATTCCAAAATATATAAAGAGACTGGGCACAGTGGCTCACACCTGTAACCCCAGCACTTTGGGAGACTGAGGCGAGTGGATCACCTGAGGTCGAGAGTTCGAGACCAGCCTGACCAACATGGAGAAACCCTGTCTCTACTAAAAATACAAAAAAATTAGCTGGGCATGGTGGCGCATGCCTGTAATCCCAGCTACTTGGGAGGCTGAGATAGGAGAATCACTTGAACCCAGGAGGCAGAGGTTTCAGTGAGCTGAGATCACACCATTGCACTCCAGCCTGGGCAACAAGAGCAAAACTGTCTCCAAAAAAAAAAAAAAAAAAAGGGGGGGGGCAAAGGGGCCCGATGCGGTAGCTCACGCCTGTAATCCCAGCACTTTGGGAGGCTGAGGAGGGTGGATCACCTGAGGCCAGGAGTTCAAGACCAGCCTGTCCAACATGACAAAACCTCATCTCTACTAAAAATACAAAAAAAAGTAACTGAGTCTGGTGGCAGTCCCCTGTAATCCCAACTACTTGGGAGGCTGAGGCTGCGGTGAGCTGAGCTTACACCATTGTACTCCAGCCTGGGCAACAAGAGCGAAACTCTGTCTCATAAAAAATGGGCAAAGGACTTGTGGAGTTCAAAGACGTACAAGTGATCAACAAACACATGGAAAGTTCTCAACATCATTAGTCATTAAAGAAATGCACATAAAAAACCACAATGAGGTATCATTTCCTACCCACTAGGATGGCTATTTAAAAACACAAAAGGAAAGTAACAAGTATGATTGAGGACGTGGAGAAATTGGAGCCCTTATACGTTGCTCATGTGAATGTAAAATGGTACAGCCACCATGGCAATTCCTTAAAAAGTTAAACTAAGGTTTCCCATGTGACTCAGCAGTTCCACCTGTTGTGTATGCCCAAAAGAATTGAAAACAGATACTCAAATACATGTATATGCATATTCATAGCAGCTCTATTCATAAAAGCCAAAAGGTGGAATTTAACAGCTCTATTCATAAAAGCCAAAAGGTGGAAACAATTTAGATTTCCATCAGGAGATGATTGGATAGACAAATTATGGTGTACGCATACAGTGGAGTATTATTCAGTCATAAAAACGGTATACTAATATGTGCTGCATAATACGGACGGACCTTAAACATACTAAGTGAAAGAAGCCAGACACAAAAGCTAACATGTTGTTTGCTTCTATTTCATGAAGTATCCAAAATAGGTAAATCCACTGAGACAGAATACAGATGAGTGGTTTCCAGGGACTGGAGGGGAGGGGAGAATGGGAAGCTGCTGAATGGATATGGGGTCGTTTTGAGGTGATGAAAACATGTTGCAACTATTTAGAGGTGGAGGTTACACAACATTATGAATTGTTCACTTTATTTTTTCTTTTTTTTTGTTCGCTTTAAAGTGGTCAGTTTACTGTGAATTTTACCTCAAAAAATAAAAATGAACAGAACTTAGTGTAGGTTAAAAGCATGCATGGTATGAATCAGACATGGTACTGAATACTGGTTCTGCCATCTGTTAATCCTGCAACTTTAAGTAAATTACCTTGAACTCCCTGTTTTATAAAATAGGCATATTGGTACTCTCAGGATTTTTATGAATAGTGAGACAGTATATGTGAAATGCTTAGCACTCTTAGTAATTACCTAGTAAACATTAGTATTACTGCTGTTATTGCTGCTGCTGCTGCTGTTGTTGGTGTTACTATTATTATGACGAATTTTCGCTCTCGTTGCCCAGGCTGGAGTGCAATGGCGCAATCTCGGCTCACCGCAACCTCTGCCTTCTGGGTTCAAGTGATTCTCCTGCCTCAGCCTCCCTGGTAGCTGGGATTACAGGCGCCTGCCACCATGCCCAGCTAATTTTTGTATTTTTAGTAGAGACGGGGTTTCACCAGTTGACCAGGTTGGTCTCAAACTCCTGACCTCAGGTGATCTGCCCACGTTGGTCTCCCAAAATGCTGGGATTACAGGTGTGAGCCACCACGCCCAGCCTTTCTGCTGTTACTTTTTATTTTATTCCTCATTTGCAGAAAGGAAATAATACTATGAACTAGGATTATCCTGAGGTTTTAATGAGTTAATCCATGCAAAGATCTTCTAACAGTGCCAGGCACATTGTAAAATGTTAACTACGCTGTTACTATTATTACACAAAAGGATCTTTAGAGGAAACTTTCACATTCTACATTTTCACATCTGCATACAGATAAAGAAACAAATACCCATATTGGAAAATGACCTTTTCAAAATGTATACTGTTAGTAACAAAGCTAAGACTAGAACCTGGTCTTGAAATCCAATGCCTAAGCGGCATTCAAACGATACAGGTGTATGATTATTTCCTTTCCAGGTAGGTGGAAAACACTTGATTTTCACTTGTTAAAAACCCCAGAAATGGATCATTTAACTATAAATGATGGTTTGGTTATTTGGTTGGTTGGTTCTGCCTGCATTAATTACTGTGTATTGATAAGTCATCAGAAGCCAAGCTCTGGAAAACTGATAGAGTGGCTAGAGGTTGCAGTTACTCCTCTTGCCACTGGATGGTGCTTCTGCAACATCATTAAGGCAGATATGGTGGCTGATACTGTTTTTCTCTTGAGCAGCTAAAAATTGAAATACTCTTGAGCTGGGCCCTAGGAATCTGTAAAAAGTGAGAATTTCCTTTAGTGTGTTTTTACATAAGCAAAACCAAAAAAGGAATCACTGTTTGGATCAAACCCTGTGATTTCTGTGCTAATTTAGCAAATGGTAATGTTGCAGGAGAGTCTGATTATTTCTTCTGACAGAATTTCAGAGGGTGGTAGGCTTTTCTAGCATCTCTTATTAGCTGAGCTATTGACTTTCCTCTCATCTCTCAATTTTATAAGCTTTTCCACCCTGTTCATCTTTAGTTTAACTTGTCCCCCCACCAAGTTGGAGTCTTGCGAATCTTGCTCTGTCGCCCAGGCTGGAGTGCAGTGGTGCGATCTCGTCTCACTGCAACCTCCCCCTCCCCGGTTCAAGTGATTCTCAAGTGATTATCCTGTCTCAGCCTCCTGAGTGGCTGGGATTACAGGCGCCCGCCACCATACCCAGCCAATTTTTGTATTTTTAGTAGACACAGGGTTTCACCGTGTTGGCAAGACTGGTCTCGAACTCCTGACCTCGTGATCCGCCCACCTGGGCCTCCCAAAGTGCTGGGATTACAGGCATGAGCCACCATGCCCGGCTTATCTTCAGTTTTTCTTAGGTGTTTGCATGTGGGTATATAGGGTGGGGGAGGGTGGAAAGTACACACTAATGAAACCATGATATTTACTTGAAAAAAGTTTAGCGCTATGAAAGTTGTGTTTGAATGTGACTACAGGAGAAAAACTGGAGGGAATAAGACTGGAGAGGTGGCTTGGGGCCATGCTCAGAAATATATTTATTCATAGAGAGTGATGATTGAGGCCGGGCACGATGGCTCATGCCTGTAATCCTAGCATTTTGGGAGGCCAAGGTGGGTGGATCACTTGAGGTCAGGAGTTCAAGACCAGCCTGGCCAAAATGGTGAAACCCTGTCTTTACTAGAAACAAAAATTAGCCGGGCATGATGGTGGGTGCCTGTAATCCCAGCTACTCAGGAGGCTGAGGCAGGAGAATTGCTTGAACCCAGGAGGTGGAGGTTGGAGTGAGCAGAGATTGCGCTGCTGCACTCCAGCCTGGGCGATAGAGTGAGACTCTGTCTCAAAAAAAAAAAAAAAAGAGAGAGTGATGGATTGAATTGAAGTGGTTAAGCAGTGGAGAGAATGCATTTGTAAACATACCTCCTTCTCTGTTAGCCTCATTTTTATTTCTATTAATAGGTACAGATTTTTAGAAGTCTTATTACTTCAGGGCTGTGACAGTGAAGCAGCAACTGCAACAACAAATTCTTGCCCTGTATGCACCTGTGCCTTACCTTTCCCAAACATTTTTAGGCTTTTTCTTCTGTTATTCAACTCCATATTCTCTAGTCATATGTTTCTAAACTTTAAAAAAACCTAGTCTTAGAAACACTCTTCTTGTTATGGAAGATGAGAATTTAATACTCTTACACCACCAGATATTCCTGGCACCTCTTTCTTAATCATTTCAATTAGTAATAAATATTTTGGTTAACTGCTAAGCCAAGTAGTGTACTATAATTGCATTTTCTTTTTCGGACAACTTTTTGTTTTTTTGTTTTTATTGTAGTTTACAGTTCGTTGTTACATTTGCCTAGATTTCAAGGCACTGTCTCTTCTTTATCTCATGTAGAATTGTCAGATCCTTTTGTTTTTCATATAAATTCTAATACTGTTTCCTCCTTCCCACTCCCAGGAAAAATCCCCCCTGGAACTTTTCTGTTCTGAACTGGTTGCTCTCTAGGCAATTTTGTCTACCCTTTACTTCACACTGTTGAATGGATTTCATTTCTTCCTCTTTGTTGGTTTGGTAAAGCAATTTCTTAGTGCTATCTTAGAAAGGATGCATGGGAGCTAAATATTTTGAGATCTTCCATGTCTGGGAATGCCTTTCATTTGGTTTTGGCTGGATATAGGTTGAAAGTATTTTTAAAAGATACTGTCATTTTGTCTTCTGGATTTTAGTGTTATTGAGAAGTTGAGAGTTGATCTTTTAAGGTGGCTTAGTTTGTTTCTGCGCATACTTTTATAAACTATTTCTGGTATTTTGAAATTTCATTGTGATGTACTTTGGTGTAAGTTTTATGCTTATTGTTCATTATGCTAGGTTCTTGGTGGGTTTTTCAGTTTAGAAGTAGATTCTTTTAGTTCTGTTTTCTTGCCTTTTTTTTTTATTATTTTCTATATGTCACTTTCTCTGTTCTTTTTCAAACTTCTGTTAGATGTCAGACCTCTTGGTTTGCTTTTCTAATTTATTATGTCTCACACTGCCTCTGTTAACTTTTTTTTTTCCCTTAATTGTTTTGATATCTGGCCGGATGCAGTGGCTCATGTTTGTAATCCCAGCACTTTGGGAGACCAAGGAGGGCGGATCACATAAGGCCAGGAGTTCAAGACCAGCCTCCCCAACATAGTGAAACCCCCTCTCTACTAAAATTACAAAAGTTAACTGGGTGTGGTGGCACAGGCCTATAGTCCCAGCCGCTCTGGGCACTGCAGCAGAAGAAAGGCTTGAACCTGAGAGGTGGAGGTTGCAGTGAGCTGAGATCATGCCACCGCATTCAAGCTTGGGCAAAAGAGCGAGACCCTGTCTCCCCCCCCAAAAAAAAAAAAAAAAATTCTGATATCTCATTGGAACCTTTGGCCTGAGGCGCTAAAAAGCTGATGGAAAGCAGAGTAGAAAAGGGTGGGGCTTGTCAAGTGATGTTTCAAATTAAGGGCAAAACATGTTTCTCAGGGACTCTTTAATTTCTCCAGAAAACATCATTTATCTGTTTATTTGACAGATATTTCTTGGATTGCCTGCTAAATGTCAGGTATTGTTCTAGGTATGGGGAATTTAACTCAATTAAACAGATAAAAATCTCTACCCTTTTCAGTCTCACATTTTGGCAATGAGAGATGAATAATAACAGAAATAAGGACACGTTAAAGTTTAAAAGTCAGGAAGAAGGTTAGAAGTGTTAATAGACAATGGGTGGGAAACATAGAGAAATATTGCAACTTAGGGTAGCTAGGGGAAAGAGCCATGATGGATGAGAAAGGTAGTCAGAGGTTAGGGGAATAGTACCTTTATGGAAAGGTAGTGAGAGGCGAACCTGGCTGTCTTGTGCATAGAGCAACAAAAAGGAAGTCAATACAATTAGCTAGATCAGAGTGAGATGATGTAGAAAATGTTGAGGGCAGGGTAGAGAGGGGTAGGTGGGAGAATATGTAGGGCCTTATTTATGGATTTAAAGAGTTTTCCTTTTAGTCTTTGTAAGAGATGGGATATGGAGATAACTAATAAGCAGTTGGGTATCTTGGATTTGGAGTTCAGGGGAGAGTTGAGGTGAGAGATCATCAGTGTGTATGTGGAATTTAAAGCCATGAAACTAGGGAATGCGTCAAGATAGAAAAGAGAAGTCCACTTCAGTTTTTAGGGGTCAGAGAGATGAGGAGAAACCAGCAATGAAGATTGATGAGTGGCTAGAAAGGTAGGAGAGTCAGGAGTTTTCATGCAAAAAAGAGTGAAGAATTCCTTCATCTACAGCTAGTAAGATCAGATGAGGACCAGGCATGGTGGCTCATGCCTGTAATCCCAGAACTTTGGGAGGCCAAGGTGAGTGGATCGCCTGAGGTCAGGAGTTCGAGACCAGCCTGGCCAACATGGTGAAACCCTGACTTTACTAAAAATACAGAAGTTAGCCATGTGTGGTGGTGCGTGCCTGTAGTCCCAGCTTCTCAGGAGGCTGAGGCAGGAGAATTGCTTGAACTTGGAAGGCAGAGGTTGCAGTGAGCTGAGATAGTGCCACTCCACTCCAGCCTGGATGAAAGAGTGAGACTGTGTCTCAGAAAAAAAAAAAAAGAAAAAAGATCAGATGAGGACTTAGGAATGATCATTGGATTTGGGAACATGGAGATCATTGATCATAGTGAGAGCTGTGTGTGTGTGTGTGTGTGTGTGTGTGTGTGTGTGTGTGTGTGTGTGTGTGTGTGTGTGTTGGGGTGGTTAATAATAACAACAACAACAAAGCCTGTTTGGAAAGGATTCAAGAGGTGAGAGGAGAGAAAACTAGAGACAGCACATATAGGTAACTTCGAAGAAGTTTGGTAAAAACAAAAAGTGAAATAGAGAGGAAACTTAGTGAGGAAGGATCCTTAACCTCCAAATTTAAAAGGTTTAGTAATAGAACCTAGTAGTTGTGATTATTGACTAGAAGAAATGTGAGGGAAACTCAAGGAGTCCAAAATGAGGCTTCTGTCTTGACCAGTTAGATTAAGTAGGTACCTGAAAACAGCCCAAATTCTTAGACATTTTCCAGTGATGCCTAGTTTCCATGCCAGGGGGTTTAGCGCTTTCAGATTGTATCCTTATTTCATCTTTCTTCAGGCAAGTTTCCTGAAATAGTATCAGTTGTCACACTTGTCATTAAGATTAATTAATAAATTGTATACCTAGCTGAAGTTGTTGGTCATGTTCAGGGTTAGTCTAGACAGCCGGGTCATTTTAGGATGATTTTCTGAGAAATTCTTAAAGAAAAACAATATGGACTGTAGAAGTAGGGTTAGGTTAAATGGTGGGTAAATGACCCTTTTTTCTTTTGATTGTGTATGAGAAACATAATGGGGCAAGCTGAAAGATTTTGACTGATTAAAAAGCAGACTGGCTCAAATTAAGAGGGGAGCAATAAGGTAAACCCAAGAGTTTGAAGGGATAGGGGCATTATTGTAGATTCTAGGGATAACAGGTTTTGTTGAAGGTTGGTGTTAAACCATTTCTTGGTGAGAGGTTAGTTATGAAAAATGAGATGCAGAGTAGAGCTAAGGTATGGGCAGGAAACTCACTGAATGATATTGTTTCTTCCTTTTATATGGTGAGCATTTCCCTACCCCAGGACCTCTTTGCAGAAGTTTATGGGCAAGGACTTTGTTTTCTTTTTTCTTCCGTGGATCCCCAGAATATTTGGACCAAAAATAATTTTTTCCCTGGAAAAATGTATGAAGTCTTTATTTGAAGTTTTAATTATTGGTGTATACTATCATCCATCTGCCATGGAAAGACAATGTCAGCAATATGGATCAAACCAATATTCTTTAGAAACACATAACAGGTTTTAATTATCTCATAATATATATTTAAGATTGCAGCACATATTTTCTTCTGAAGTTCGATTTACCTTTAGGTCTGTTTATGTATTTAGATTGCTTAATTAAATGTTCACTATCAGTTGAGGCTTGCATAGATACCTCTTTTGTGTTTGTTCCACAGGAGCAAAACTGAATCTCGAAAGATAAATGAAGTTTACCAGGAAAAGAAAACTGGGATGAGGAGAGGATTTACGAAGTAGCATATGCTAAACGAGAGACATGAGAAAACATGATGATCAGGGATGTCATGTAGACTGAAGACTTTGATACTAAGAGGCATTTTCACAATTTTATCCTGAAAGCATAGAGAAAACAAATCAACTTGTCATTTTCAAAAACTTACCCTGGCTGTAATCTCAATAAAAGGACATCTTTTAAAGTCAAGCTTTATGAAAAATTTACTACCTTGTTTTTGTTTTTCTCATGTTTTTTATTTATTTTGAGGAGTGGGGTGTTAACTGTGTTGCTCAGGCTGGAGTGCAGTGGCATGATCACAGCTCACTGCAGCTTCAACCTCCTGGACTCAGGTGATCCTCCCACCACAGCCTCCCAAGTAGCTGGGACTACAGGTGTGCACCACCATGCCTGGCTAATTTTTTTGTAGAGATGAGGTTTTGCCTTGTTGCTCAGGCTGGTCTTAAACTCCTGGACTCAAGCAGTCCTCTTACCTTGGCCTGCCAAAGTGCTAGGATTATAGGCATGAGCCACCACACCCAGCCTTTTTCCTTACTTAAAAAAAAAGCCCCCTTATTTCATCCATTTCATTTCATCTCATTTTTTCACTTCATTTTATGTTTTTGAGACAGAGTTTCATTCTTGTCACCCAGGCTGGAGTGCAGTGGCACGGTCTTGACTCACTGCAACCTCCACCTCCCGGGTTCAAGCAATTCCCCTATCTCAGCCTCCCAAGTAGCTGGGATTACAGGCGCCCACCACCACACCCGGCTAATTTTTATATTTTTAGTAGAGATGGGGTTTCACCATGTTGGCTAGGCTGGTCTCAAACTCCTGACCTCAGGTGACCCTGCCGCCTCAGCCTCTGAACGTGCTGGGATTACAGGCGTGAGCCACCGCACCTGGCCGTATTTATTTATTATGTATTTTTTTGAGACATAGCTTTGCACTGTTGCCCAGGCTGGAGTGCAGTGGTGCGATCTTGGCTCACTGCAGCCTGCGCCTCCCGGGTTCAAGCAATTCTCGTGCCTCAGCCTCCCGAGTAGCTGGGATTACAGGCACGTGCCACCATGCCTGGCTAATTTTTGTATTTTTAGTAGAGACGGAGTTTCACCACATTGGCCAGGCTAGTCTTGAACTCTTGACTTAAAGTGATACCCCCGCCTCAGCCACCCAAGGTGCTGGGATAACGGGCGTGAGCCACTGTGCCCGGCCCCACTTAGTAATTTTAATCATGTTAAGTAATTATTGCATTTGAAAATTTGGGGGTTCGGTTGTCTTTGTTAACTTACTCAAAATGGGTAAGTTTTATGTGGCGTTTAATGTTTCTTAATTTAATGAGCTAGTATTAAATAGAGTTTTATTTGTGGGAATCCTGTAGGGTCTGAAGAAAGGATTTGTACCTTCAGACAGTTTTTACGTTTGCTGTTAATAGCCAAGGATCATTTTTTATGTATTCGGATTGTCAAATCTGAACCATGAGGCCTGGTATCAGAAACTTCCTTATGATCGCCCTTTGCCAGTGAATAGTTGTGTTTTGTTTTTTTCCCTAGGCAACTCTCACTAAGATTGTAGTCCTTTCTGGGTTTCAGGCAAAGAATTTATTGGTTCCAATTACTTAAAGCCTCCAGACCTAGACCTTTCATCGTGTTCTCAGTATGGCTGTTAAAAATGCAAGCTCAGGCCGGGCGCGGTGGCTCATGCCTATAATCCTAGCACTTTAGGAGGCCAAGGTGGGCGGATCACGAGATCAGGAGATCGAGACCATCCTGGCTAACACGGTGAAACCCCGTCTCTACTAAAAATACAAAAAATTAGCCAGGCATGGTGGCGGATGCCTGTAGCCCCAGCTAGTCAGGAGGCTGAGGCAGGAGAATGGCATGAACCCGGGAGGCGGAGCTTACAGTGAACTGAGATAGCGCAATTGCACTCCAGCCTGGGCGACAGAGCGAGACTCCGTCTCAAAAAAAAAAAAAGCAAGCTCAGGTTGGACGCAGTGGCTCACGCCCGTAATCCTGACATCTTGGGAGTCTGTGGCAAGAGGATCACTTGAGCCCAGGAGTTGGAGCACCAGCCTGGGCAACATATTGGGACGTCGTTTCTACAAATAATACAAGAATTAGCTGGGCAGGGTGGCACATACCTGTAGTCCCAGCTACTCAGGAGGCTGAGGTGGGAGGATCACCTGAGCCCAGGAGGTCGAGGCTGCAGTGAGCCATGACTGACACTGCACTCCATCCTGGGTGACAGAGCGACAGCCAGTCTCCAAAAAACAAAACAGAACAAAAAGCAAGCTCTTTGGTTTTGTTCTCACAGCCCTGCCACTGCCGAAGTGCAAGTAACGCCTATTTATCTGCTCTGGTTTTCAGTTCCGTCTTTATTTCTGGTGTACAGCAATTTCTCTTGGAGAAATTTATTGCCAGTGTGCTTGATATATGAAACATTTCTGGATGTTTTGTAGTGAAATAAGTTTCAGTTTATTGGGACTGCTCTATTGCTGGGATTGAATAACTCAAATTTGTCTGCAAATTTACTTAATATTCCTTTTATAAACAGATGTTAGCCCTGTCTTTCACTTTGCTTTTTACTGTCTTTTTACTCCATTTATTGCCTTCAAGTCAAATGGACTATTGCTGTCATTCATAACATGATACAGTCACAGAGCAGCTTCAGAATTCTGATGTAGAAAGTGTAAGGATGTATGCCAGAACTTTAGAGTATTTTTGTAGTGTGCTTGCCATAGTGGGTGGGTGGGCGGATGGATGGCTGGATGGATGGCTGGCTGGCTGGATGGATGGATGGATGGATGGATGGATGGATCTTCTAGTAATGTTTAGTTTGCGGCTTATGCCTTTTTCTGGATTGACTTTGTTTTGAAGGTACCTTTTTCTTTCTCTAGTAACTTCTTTTCTACTCTGTCAAGTTAAGCCCTATAGGGAACTACTTTTGAAAACTTGGCTTTTTTGATCTTTGGAACATACTTTAAGAATTACTGACTTAACCTGTTCTTTTGGTATTTGACCCCTTCTGAAACAATGCTTGAATTTTGTTACAGTTTTATTTCCTAATGTGAACTATGAATACTAATATAATACTATGAATTTCTCTCTGAAATATTGCTTTAGCTGTATCCTACAAATTTTGATATTCTCATTTTAATTCATTTCAGAAATTTTCTAATTTTCACTATAATTTCTTTTTTGACCATGAATTTCCAAATATTTGGGAGTTTTCCCAGATGTATTTCTGTTATTGATTTCCAGTTCAGTTTTGTTGCAGACAGAAAACATACTTTGGGCTGGGTGCGGTGGCTCACGCCTGTAATCCTAGCACCTTGGGAGGCCAAGGCCGGTGGGTCACTTTGAGCGTTCGAGACCAGCCTGGGCAACGTGGCAAGACCCCGTCCTACAAAAAGATACAAAACTTAGCTAGACATGGTGGCTCGTGCCTGTGGTCTTAGTTACTTGGAAGGCTGAGGTAAGAGGATCACTTAAGCCGGGAAGTGGAGGTTACAGTGAGCTGAGATCATGCCACTGCACTCTAGCCTGGGTGACAGAGCAAGACCTTGTCTCAAAACAAACAAACAAAAAACCAGAAAATGAAAACATACTTTGTATGACCTCAATACTCTTTTCTTTGTTTGTTTTTGAGACGGAGTCTCACTCTGTCGCCCAGGCTGGAGTGCAGTGGCGCGATCTCAGCTCACTGCATCCTCCACCTCCCGGGTTCAAGTGATTCTTCTGCGTCAGCCTCCCAAGTAGCTGGGATTGCAAGCATGCCCTACCACACCTGGGCATGGTATTTTTGTGTTTTTAGTAGAGACGGGGTTTCACCACATTAGCCAGACTGGTCTCGAACTCCTGACCTCAGGTGATCCGCCTGCCTTGGCCTCCCAAAGTGCTGGGATTACAGGCGTGAGCCACCGTGCCTGGCAACTTCAATACTGTTAAATGTGTTGAAACTTCTTTTACGACCCTTATGTTTTCTCTTGATACATACTCAGTCTGCACTTGAAAATGGTATGTATTCTGTTGCTGTTAGATGGAGATTTCTGTATATGTCAGTTATGTCAAATTGGTTAATATAGTGTGGTTTAAGTCTTCTGTATCATTATTGATTTTTCTGTCTACTTAAAGAAATCTGGTTTTGAGGGAAAGGATGTTGAAGTCTCCAACTATAATTGTAGGTTTATGTATTTCTCTTCGCAGTTCTATTAATTTTTGCTTCATGCTAAACATTTGTATTTTTATCCCTTCCTGAAGAATAGACTGCTTTATCATTATGAAATGACCCTCTATCCTTGGTAGTTTTCCTTTGTTCTGCAGCTTAGTGAAGGCAATATTTTTCCCCCACTAGGAACCTTTTTATTCGTATGTGTTAGAATATTAGATATTTTAAATTTTACTTTCTTATATCCTAATTTGTAAAAACTCACTCTTTCTTCTTTTTCTTTCTTTCTTTCTTTCTTTTTTTTTTTTTTTTTTTTTTTTTTTTGAGACATGGTCTTGTTCTGTTGCCCAGGCTCAAGTGCAGTGGCACAATTAAAGGCTCACTGCAACCTCTGCCTCTTGGGTTCAAGGGATTCTTCCACCTCAGCCTCCTGAGCAGCTGGGACTACAGTTGTGTGCCACTATGCCTGGCTAATTTTTTGTGTTTTTAGTATTTTTGTATTTTTAGTAGAAACAGGGTTTCACCATGTGCCCAGGCTGGTCTCGAACGCCTGGGCTTACACCATCTGCCCACCTCAGCCTCTCAAAAGTGCTGGGATTAGAGGCGTGAGCCACCATGCCCAGCCCAAAACTTGGTCTTTTCTGTATCTATTTTTCCTCCTATCCTGGATCTTGTATTACTCAGGTTTAAAATTGGATACATTTGCTCAGTGTTGCATACTTGGTGAATATCTGGAATCAAACAAACACAGACAAGTTTAAAAGGTGTGAGCGTTTTTACTGTGATTAATTTTAGTATAGCCAAATGTAAAGCCACAGTTACAGTTTACCTTTTTTTCTGCATTGTAGGAATAGACTTCAAGATCAAAACAGTTGAATTACAAGGAAAGAAGATCAAGCTACAGATATGGTAAGTGATGCTAATTTACTTTATGTAGCAGAATGTCAGGTTCCTTAAGGTTTCACAGTGAAATTCTTTTTTGTCACAGGTTTAGATTCTGTGAGACTTTTGTTTTTAAAGCAGGCAGTCAGGTGACCTTTTTGTGCAGTAAAAACCATTGCATGGACTTAAGTCCATGAGATCTAATAATCTTTTCTACTTACCGTGTGAACTGAGGCAGATTATATACTCATTATTAGGCTTTTTATCTTCATATGTAAAGGGAGATAGTAACACCCGTCTCAATGGATTGTTACAAGGATTACATGAAATAATATATGCAAAGTTTTTAGTGAAATGCATTGCGAAAATGTTTGTTTTCTTTAATATGTTTTTAACTTTTTATGGGCATTATTTTTATTAGTTTGTGTTAGGTTTGCCTGAAGAAGTACAAACCTTTGAATTTGTATTTGTCTGAATCATAGAATTTAGAATTATAATGGCAATATTTTCCAGCAAATGTGTATTATGTATATTAACCCATTAATTACTAAAAAGGACCCTGTGAAATCTGTTACTCCTTTTGAGAAAACAGCTTTATTGAGGTATAATCTAACTGATATAGAATAAGTGCACATAAAGTGTAAAATTTGTTAAGTTTTGACATACGTATAAACCTGTAAAACAATCACCAGTCAAGATAGTGAACATATTTGTCACCTCAAAAGTTTCCTCAAGCCTCTTTGTGATCTTTTGTAATCCCTTCTTCCCTGCTACCCCTGGTCCCCAGGCAGCCACTGTGCTTTCTGTCACTGTATTTCTGTTTTTTGTTTTTTTGGGTTTTTTTTTTTTTTTTTTTTTTTTTTGAGGTGGAGTCTCGCTCTGTCGCCCATGCTGGAGAGCAGTGGCGCTATTTCGGCTCACTGCAAGCTCTACCTCCCAGGTTCACGGCATTCTCCTGCCTCAGCCTCCCAAGTAGCTGGGACTATAGGTGCCCGCCACCACACCTGGCTAATTTCTTTTGTATTTTTAGTAGAGACGGGATTTCACTGTATTAGCCAGGATGGTCTCGATCTCCTGACCTCGTGATCCGCCCGCCTTGGCCTCCCAAAGTGCTGGGATTACAGGTGTGAGCCACTGCGCCTGGTCAATTTTTTTTTAACATTCTAGATCCCATTTTCATTTATGTATTTCAAACTTTTATACTTTTCAACATGACTGTATCTACCCCGCAGAATGACCTAGCTCCTTGATTTTAAAGTATCCTTTTCCTGGGTCCTGTCCTGGGTCCTACCCGGACTCTGATTATACCATCCCCCACCAGTTGTTAAGGCAATCAATAGTTTATTTCAAATCAGGGAACAGGGTCCTTGCCTCACTATTTCTAGGCTTACTGATGATCTGTTGCCCAGGGCTAAAAATAGCCACAGCTGCTTGTTTATTGGTGACATTATTTTTAGGTTTGCATACACACATATGCCCAAGTCTAATCCAGTCCAGCAGGTCAAATCCAATAAGCAAAAGAAGGTGTTAAATATCTGAAGGGACAATTAAACATTGTACATGTTCACAGTATCTTTTTATGTCACCATAATACAGGTTTCTAAGCCTGCTTTCAAAACTACTCTCTTATCCTCTGCCATTAAAAAATTATTCCCTGACAGTCTACTTAGTAAGATCAAGTTTCTGAAATTACAAGACAATGAGAATAGAATTGTCCTTACTTAAAGTAATAAATAGACAGCCAATAATTGCTGTGAAATCCTACTTTTCCCACTGACATTATAAAAAAGAAGTGATACGTTTCTAGGAATTAAAAAGGTATATTTCCTTAATTGTTAGTACCACACTTGGGGTTGGGGAAGCTGTGTACTCTGGCTGTTATTGTGACAGTTATTTTTGGTCTGGGCACTGACAAAACCAGTACAGGCCAGAGGCATATCAATCTGCTCTGCAAGGCAGAGACCCCAGATTTCATAACCCTGTGTTTTTTGGTAACATAATGAAGTTATTCCTTACCTTATAAATTAGGATGTCAAATTTCTCATGTTGCATTTTATTTTAAGAAGACCTGGATGTCTTCAGAGATAAACAATTTGTCTATACCCAAAATACCATGAACTTAAATTATGTTTGTCTTCATTCAAGGATTTTTTTTTTTTTTTCCCAAAAGTAGACAGCCTGACACCTGCCCTGTCAGAGCTCACACCCATAGGGACAGGAGCAAACAAGTAAATAAATATATCACAAATTGTGATAAATGCTAGCAAGGTGAATAGGGTAAAGTGTTGGAGAATGGGGTAAGGATGAGGGAGGAAGTGATCTAGATAGAATGATCAGGGAGGTCCTCTCTATAGAGGTGATGTTTAAGATGAGAAGTGAAATACGAACAGTAAGCAACCAAAGTCATTTAGTCAATAAATGTTTGTTGAGTATGTATTTGCCAGGTGTTGGTGGTAGGAATATAAGCATAAATCGGACAGATAGGAGCCCTGCCTGCAAAAGCTTACATTTTAGTGGGGTAAGTCTAGATCTTACTATGCTTTTTACCATGTTGCCCAGGCTGGACCCTCTCCCTTTTCAGAGTCCTAGTTAATTCACTATATTTTTCTTGTATAAAAGCACTACATAGCAGCCACAGCTGGAGCCTGGGTCTTCTTCATGGAGACTCCGGTATGGGTCTTACAAGATGGTCAGTGAATTCCTGATAGGGAGACTCATTGAACGTGTTGTCTTTCTTGAGGTGTTGGGGATGAGATAGCTATAGGTCTTGAAGATAGTATTAAAGGTGACCTTGGCAAAGGTGCCTAGGGTAGCAGTGTAGCTCCTGGTGGAGGTGTAGCAGTCATTGATAGGGGTCATCAGCAGCAGCTTTTGGGCACAGGGGCGGGCAGTGCTTCTAGGGACTGGGATGAGGCCACCAGCACAGAGCTGCAGTGGTTACCTGGCAAGGGACTGTGGGTCTTAATGATCTTGTTCCCCAGGTAGCTTCACTGCACATGGGAAATGGAGAGGTTGGCCAGTGAATGGTGGCCTGCAGATGGCAGGGACTACTTCCTTGGAATACCTAACACACAGACTGATGTGACTCTTGTCCCTGACTGTGACAAATCCCTTGAACCTGGTCCACTGGCCAGCATAGGTCTCTTTTTGCATGGGCATAATCTTCAAAACCTCATCTTTGAGGACATCCTTAGGAAAAAGTGAACGATCTCAGACTCCTTGATGGGCGGGGAGAATAGAGAGATTTCCTCCAGGAACTCGTCATGTCTTTGATCAGGTAACCCACCTTGGTGACAGAGAGCTATTCCTTGTCCTTGTCCTTGCCTCCTTGAGCTCCTAGGCCTCAGCAGCAACCCTGGCCCAGTCACCACTCCTGAAGCCTCCCAGTCTAGGGCCCCTAGTGCCTTCACACCCTCCCATGATAGTGGCAGGATCTGCCATTTGGTATTTTCTCTGAGAAGGCTTAATCTCTTTTCTTGCTCTGCTTTCTGTTTCCTTAACACTTAATAATTCTCTGACATTCCATAATGTTTTATTTATGTGTTTATCTTCAATAGGCAGGAATTTTTATTTCATTTACAGCTTTATCTCTTGTGCCTGGAATAATGTCTAGTGTGTAGTACTTAATAATACTGGTAGAATGAAAGAATGGGATATTGTCTTATTTTCCAGGGCAGATCTATATATTTTGAGATGAAATGAGCAAGTGACTGGGCTGTGATTTTTTTTTTTCTTTTTTCTTTCTTTTTTTTTTTTTTTTTGAGACGGAGTCTCGCTCTGTCACCCAGGCTGGAGTGCAGTGGCGCTATCTCGGCTCACTGCAAGCTCTGCCTCCTGAGTTCATGCCATTCTCCTGCCTCAGCCTCCTGAGCAGCTGGGACTACAGGTGCCTGTCACCACGTCCAGCTAATTTTTTGTATTTTTAGTAGAGACGGGGTTTCACCGTGTTAACCAGTATGGTCTCGATCTCCTGACCTTGTGATCCGCCCACCTCGGCCTCCCAAAGTGCTAGGATTACAGGCGTGAGCCACTGCCCCTGGCCAGGCTGTGATTTTCTTAAGATTAAAAAGTCCAAGTCTTTCACTTAGCTAAACACCATTTTATTTTACTTACATAGAAATGGGCTACAGGCAAAGCCAGGGTTTTCCTTGTGAAGCAGCTTTGAGTACTGCGTAAGCACAGATAAATATTAACTTGAGAGCTCTTAATACCATAGAGCATCTGTCTGCAAAGATGGTCTTGATTTAGAGCATTGTTAGGACATCTTAAAAACATAGAATGAAATTTTGAGTCTCACGTTGACATTATTGCAGCCTTGCATATTTTTATGGAAAATACTTCTTATTGTTCATTATCCCTCCTTATTGTTTATAAGTGAAAACAACAACAACAACTACTAAGGTCCAAGGAAGCTAAGTACATTCAAGGTCACTAAGCTGGGAGGGGTAGAACCTGAGGATAAACTTAAGCCTGACCCCAAACCCATGTTCTGTGTATATTCTTGCATAATGCCCAACCTATAGTAGACATTCAGTTAATATTCGGATTGATGGATAAATGAATAGATGGCAGATATGTGAACATGCTAAGTGCATTTAAGATATGAAAAGATTTTGAGAAACCAGTCATATGCAGGTAGTGGGAACAGATCTTGCAGAAGCTCTTAGTAGGAACAAACTTACGAATTTAAAAATGGTTTCTAGTGATTGGGGAAAAGAGTACCTCAAAATGAGAGGGGCTGGAGAAGGGTTTAAACTACTGTAAGGCTTTGTAATCCCCAGAATAAAGAGTTTGGAATTGATTCTGGTTATAATGAGTTTTTATTGGAAGTTTTCTGTTTTTACTTTTATTTTTTTGGAAAGCCTAGTCATATTTTCAGTTTGTTTTATAATGACTTTTTTATACATAATTCACATACCATACAATATACCCATTTAAAACAATTTAATAGTTTTTAGTATATTCACAAATTTGTACAACCATCGTTACCATTTCAGAACATTTTTATCTCCCCTCCAAGGAAACCCCATACCTGTCACTCTTTATCCTCCCAATTCCCTGGCCAGGGAAACCACTGATCAACTTTGTCTGTATAAAATTTCTTTATGTGGACTTTTCAAATAGATGGAATCATATAATATATGGTCTTTTGTGACTAGTTTCTTTCACTTAGCATGAGGTTATCAGGGTCTGTCTGTGTTGTACATGAATCAGTACTTCATTCTTTTTTTTTAATGGCTGAATAATACTCCATTGTATGGATATACCACATTTTATTTATCCGTTCATTAGTAATGGACCTTTCAGTTGTTCTGCTTTTTGGCTATTATGAATAATGTTGCTGTGAACATTCACGTCTACGTTTTTGTGTGGACGTACAAGTTTTCATTTCTTTTGGTTATATGCCTAGAATTGTTGGATCATATGGTACCTCCATGTTGAACATTTTGAGGAACTACCTGACTGTTTTCTAACATGGCTGCATCATTTTACATTGTCACCAACAGGGTATAAGGGTCCCAATTTCTCTACATCCTCACTAACGTATATTGTCGTTTGGGTCATAGCCATCCTGTGGTGGTGGGGAGCTAGGTTGGTATCTCATTATGGTTTTTATTTGCATTTCACTAATGACTAAGGATGTTGAGCATCTTAAGTGTTTATTGGCTATTTGTGTATCTTCTTTGGATAAATGCCTGTTTAGATCTTTTGCTGATTTTTAAGTTTGGTCATTTGTCCTTTTATTGTTGAGTTGTAAGTTATTTGTATATTCTGCATACCCAAGTCCCATATCAGATACACAAGTTTGCAAATAGTTTCTTCCATTCTGTGGGTTGTCTTTTCACCTTGTATTGTTCGCTGAAATACAAGTTTTTAATTTTCACGTCCCATTTACCTGTTTTTTCTTTTGTTGTTTGTGCTTTGGTGACATGTGTAAGAAACAGTTGTCAAATCCAAGATTTGAAGATGACCCCTATGTTTTCTTCTAAGAGTTTTTATAGTTCAGCTGTTGGATTTAGGTCTTGATCTGTTTTGAGGTAATTTTTTTTTTTTTTTTTTGAGATGGAGTCTTGCTCTGTCGCCCAGGCTGGAATGCAGTGGCGCTATCTCGGCTCACTGCAAGCTCTGCCTCCTGGGTTCATGCCATTCTCCTGTCTCAGCCTCCTGAGTAGCTGGGACTACAGGTGCCCACCACCACGCCCGGCTAATTTTTTGTATTTTTATTAGAGTTGGGTTTTCACTGTGTTAGCCAGGATGGTCTCAGTCTCCTGACCTCGTGATCCACCCGCCTCGGCCTCCCAAAGTCCTGGGATTACAGGCGTGAGCCACCGCGCCCTGCCATTTTGAGGTAATTTTTATATATGGTATGGGGTAGAGGTCCAACTTACTTCTTTTGCATGGATATATTCAGTTGTTCCAGCACCATTTGTTGGAAAGCCTGTTTTTTTTCCCCAATGAAGATATTAGAAGTTTTAAGCAGAATAATATGATCAAACATAATGTTTAAAGAAGATCACTCTGGCTGGTGTGTGGAGAACGGCAGTCCATCATCTCTGAATCTTAGAATGCCAACAAAAGGTATTGTTAACAAGCAGCCAGTGACTTAGAATGAAGACCAGAAACTTATCCAAAGAGTCATGAGAATAAAGTGTTACAAGAAGAGAATGCAGTCGGCTGGGCACAATGGCTCACACCTGTAATCTCAGCACTTTGGGAGGCCGAGGCAGGCAGATCACCTGAGGTCAGGAGTTTGAGACCAGCCTGGCCAACATACATAGTGAAACCCCATCTCTACTAAAAATATTAAAATTAGCTGGGCGTGGTGGCACACACCTGTAATCCCAGCTACTTGGGAGGCTGAGACAGGAGAATCACTTGAACCCGGGAGGTGGAGGATGCAGTATGCCGAGATTGTGCCACTGTACTCTGTGAGACTCCGTCTCAGGAAAAAAATAAAAAGAAAAAAGAGAATGCAGTCAACTGTGTAGAATCCTACTTAGTGATTAAGATGCAGTCATACAGTGCATAATGATATTTTAGTCAGTGACTACATACACAATGGTTGTCTTATCAATATTGTAATACCACATTTTTACTGTACCTTTTCTATGTTTTGACATATTTAGATACACAAATACTTATTGTGTTATAGTTGTCTACTGTATTCAATATAGTCACATACTCTACAGGTTTGTAGCCTGGGAGCAATATGCTATATACCACATAGTGCAGGTATGTTGTAGGCTCTAATCATTTAGGTTTGTATAAGTACGCTCTATGATGTGTGCACAATGATGACATAGTCTAATGATGCATTTCTCAGAATATATCCCTGTCATTAATAGGTGGATGATATATAAAGAGGAAATAGCTATTGGGTTTGGCATCCAGGTTATTGGAGACCTTCTGAAAAGGAGTTTTGATAGAGTAATCAGTAATAGCAATCCTATTAGAATCAGTTAAGGACTGAAAGTGGGAAAACAGCAACTGGAGAAAACTCTTTAAAGAAATTTGCTGGGAAAATTTTTATGTAAATATAGACAAGCTTATCCTAGTATTTATATGGGAAGGCTAGGGTAGCTAAAACAATTTGACAAAGTAAAATAAGTGGGAAGAATCAATCTATCTGGTTGTAAAGCTTTTTATTTAACCATAGTAATCTAGGACAGTATGGTAATGGAGGAGGCCTAGACACATAGGAGATTGCAACAGAATAAAGAACCCAGACACAGATTGAACTGTGGTATGGCCTGCAGATTTTTGACAAAGGTACAAAAGCAATTCAATGGAGCAAGGTTATTACTTCGACATTTCAAGCAAATGGTGCTTGAGCAATAGGACATTCATAGAAATGTCCTATTTGAAATTAACTCAAAATGTACCATCGGTTTAATAAAACCATAAGGTGGCCGGGCACGGTGGCTCACGCCTATAACCCCAGCACTTTCGGAGGCTGAGGCGGGTGGATCATCTGAGGTCAGGAGTTTGAGATCAGCCTGGCCAACATGGCAAAACCCCGTCTCTACTAGAAATACAAAAATTGTCCAGTGTGGTGGCACACGCCTATAGTCCCAGCTCTTTGGGAGGCTGAGGTTGGAGAATCTCTTGAACCCGAAAGGCAGAGGTTGCAATGTGCCGAGATCACACCACTGCACTCCAGCCTGGGCGACAGAGCAAGACTCTGTCTCAAAAAAAGAAAAAAAGACCCATAAGGCTTTTAGAAGAAAATACAGGAGAAAATCTTTGGAACATAAGACTACGTGAAGAGGCTGGGTGTGGTGGCTCACGCCTGTAACCCCAGCACTTTGGGAAGCTGAGGCGGGCAGATCATCTGAGGCCAGGAGTTCAAGACCAGCCTGGCCAACATGGCGAAAACCCATCTCTACTAAAAATATAAAAATTAGCTGCATGTGGTGGCACGTGCCTGTAATCTCAGCTATTCCAGAGGCTGAGGCAGGAGAATCTCTTGAACCTGGGAGGCGGAGGTTGCAGTGAGCCAAGATCGTGCCACTACACTCCAGCCTGGGCAACAGAGCGACACCCTGTTTCAAAAAAAAAAAAAAAAAAAAGACTAGGTGAAGAATTCTTAGACATAACACTAAACACATGATCTGTAAAAGAAAAAAAAATCAGTAAATTAATTAGACTTTCACAAAATTAAAAGCTTCCTCTCTACAAAATACCCTGTCAAGGGAATGAAAAGACTAGCTACAGACTTGGAGAAAATATTTACAAGCCAGTGTATCTGACAAAGGACTTCTGTATAAAAAGAACTTTCAAAAGTCAGCAGTAAAAAGACAAAAAAACTGACAATCCAGGCCAGCCACGGTGGCTCACGCCTGTAATCCCAGCACTTTGGGAGGCTGAGGCGGGCTGATCACCTGAGGTCAGGAGTTTGAGACGAGCCTGGCCAACATGGTGAAACCCCATTTCTACTAAAAATACAACCGTTGGCTGGGCGTGGTGGTGGGCGCCTGTGATCCCAGCTACTTGGGAGGCTGAGGCAGGAGAATCACTTGAACCCAGGAGGCAGAGGTTGCAGTGAGCCGAGACTGTGCCATTGCACTCCAGCCTGGGCGGCAAGATCGAAACTCTATCTCAAAAAAAAAACCCCAAAAACAAAAAACTAACAATCCAATTAGAAAATGGGCAAAAAAAAAAACCAGACATTTCACCAAAGAGGACATGTGGATGGCAAATAAACACATGAAAAAATGTTCACCATCTTAGCCACAGGGAAATACAGATTAATGTGATGATGAAATATTACTATGTGCCCTCTTAGAACTACAGAAATAAAAAAGTGACAGCATCAAATGCTGGTGAGGATGCAGAGAAACTGGATCTTTTATATGTTGCTAGTGCAAATGTCAAGTGATAGAGCCACTCTGGAAAAAGTTGGCCAGTTTCTTACCGTTATACACTTACCATATTACCCATAAATAACATTCCTGGGCATTTATTTCAAAGAAATGAAAAATTATGTCCACATAGAAACCTGTAAATGAATATTCTTCGAACTTTGTTATAGCCAAAAACTGGAAACAACCCTGAATGTCCTTCCATGGGTGAATAATTAAGCAAATTGTGATACAGACATACCATAGAATGCTACCCAGCAATGAAATGGGACAGACCAGGATTATGTGCAAAACTTGAGAGGACTTCAAGAGCATTATGGTGAAAGAAGTGTTAAATGCCGATTTCAAAAGGTAGCATACTACATGATTCCACTTACGTAACATTCTGGAAATGAAAAAAATATAAACATAGAAAACAGATTATTGATCAGAGTTTAGGGACTATGGGGAGTAAAGAGGTGATGTAATAGTTCTTTGTCTTGTGGTAGTTACACAAATCTGTACATGTAATAAATTGTAGAGAACTATATATACACACATACACAAATAAGTGCATGTAAAAAAAAAAAACCCTGAAATCTTAATAAGGTCTGTAGATTGTATCCAATGTCCATTTTCTGGTTTTGCTATTATGCTGCAGTAATATAAGATGTTATCATTAGGAAAAGCTGGGTGAAAGGTACCCAGGACCTCTCTGCACAGTTTTGTAACTTCCTGTAAGGCTGTAATTATTTCAAAATAAAAGTTTTAAAAATATTAACTCGAAAGAGGAGCAGGGATAGTTGGAGAGATACAGGGTTGAGATTGGGGTCTTTTGCTTTATATTTATTTATTTATTTATTTATTTATTTATTTATTTATTTATTTATTTTGAGACGGAGTCTCGCTCTGTCACCCAAGCTGGAGTGTAGTGGCACCATCTTGGCTCACTGCAACCTGTGCCTCCTGTGTTCAAGCAGTTCTCTTACCTCAGCCTCCCGAGCAGGTGGGATTACAGGCACGTGCCACCATGCCGGGCTAATTTTTGTATTTTTAGTAGAGATGGGGTTTCACCATGTTGGCCAAGTGTCTTGAACTCCTGACCTTAAGTGATCTACACGCCTCAGCCTCCCGAAGGGCTGGGATTACAAGTGTGAGCCACTGCGCCCGACCTTATTTTTGCTTTTTTAAAAAAGATACTAAAACATGTTTGTAAGCTGATGAGATGATCCATAAAAGAGCAAAATGATGATACAAATGAGAGGGCATAGTTACAGGAGCAAAATACATCTTACACCTTTGGCTTTAAGCATTAAATAATGGAAAATACTACTATTTACATTTCTGTCTTATTATTTATAAGTGAGGTTATCTTTACAACTTTTGGTTAATGATTCTAAATGTAAATATGACTGTACTATGGTATAGTTCTCTAATGTTCTAAAAATCCTACCTGCTTTTGTGTTACATTATGGAACTAAATTATTAAATAAAATGAAATTTTAAGAGTTTCTATGGTGTTTGCTAGTGCTTATTCAATAAACTTGAGTTTTATGTGTCACTTCCTACTGTTTTCCCTTTCAGATTTTCATCCAGTATGGGTAGGTTATTAATTTCCTTCAACTAAAAAGTTTTTATATATACTTAGGAAAAACTATTCTTGTTTTGTCCTTTATGTGAAATGTAGTAATATCAAAATGCTTAATAGAAATTATTGGCTGTTTATTTCAGGGATACAGCAGGCCAGGAGCGATTTCACACCATCACAACCTCCTACTACAGAGGCGCAATGGGTATCATGCTAGTATATGACATCACCAATGGTAAAAGTTTTGAAAACATCAGCAAATGGCTTAGAAACATAGATGAGGTAAGACCTAGAACTTGTATAAACCCTTCATGAACACACATTTGTGTGCTTGGTTAGGAAGAATAAATATTCCAACTGATCTTCAGGATATAATGTACTGTTGAAGTCATTATTATTGAAGTATTTCTATTTTCTAAAAGTTAATGTTGGCCGGGCATGGTGGCTCATGCCTGTAATCCCAGCACTTTGGGAGGCTGAGGTGGGAGGATCACCTGAGGTCAGGAGCTAAAGACCAGCCTGGCCAACATGGTGAAACCCCATCACTACTAAAAATTATAAAAATCAGCTGGGTGTGGTGATGTGCACCTGTCGTCCCAGCTACTCAAGAGTCCAAGGCAGGAGAATCTCTTGAACCTGGGAGGTAGAGGTTGCAATGAGCCAAGATTGCGCCACTGCACTCCAGCCTGGGCAACAGAGCAAGACTCCGTCTCCAAAAAAAAAAAAAAAAAAGTTAATGTTGTTATTTGCTAATTTTTTCTTAAGTTTTTGGACAGTCTATCTAGAGCCCCATTCAAGACAATTAGTAAATTACTCCAAAACTCTGTATAGCCATCTTACAAGATGACCCCAAATAGAAGCTACCAGTGATTTTACAATGATTTTCTGGAAATGAATTTTTTCTTAATAAATTTTTATTGAATGAATGAAATGTCCGGTAGTAATTTTTTAAAACTTTATTTTTCATGTTATAGAAATATAATATTGCTTCTAGGCATTTTGAAATATATGGAATACTAATATAGTAAAAACCTAACTAAGAAAATAGTTCCATTGCATGTGAAAATGTTGTTTTTTTTTCTGTATTTTGGGTTTTTTTGAGATAGAGTCTCACTTCATCACCCAGGCTGGAGTGCAGTGGCACAATCTTGGCTCACTGCAATCTCTGCTTTCTGGGTTCAAGTGATTCTAGTGTCTTAGTGTCTTGAGTAGCTGGAATTACAGGTGTGCACCACCACACCCGGCTAATTTTTGTATTTGTAGTAGAGATGGGGTCTCGCCATGTTGGCCAGGCTGGTCTTGAACTTCTGGCCTCAAGTGATCTGCCCACCTTGGCCTCCTGAAGTGCTAGGATTGCAGGCATGAGCCACTGCACCCAGCCTGATGTTACTTTTTATAAGTTAAAATTATGTATCAAAGCATGTCTGTTTCTTTGCTACAGCATAGGTGGCTTCTTGTTAAGAGTTGTTTTTCATGCCTTATTGCTACCTTCTAGGCTTTGAGTTTTGTTAACAGTAACTCTTTGAAGCAAATTTTGGCCAGATACACAAAGACCAAGTCTTAAACCAATATTAGACCCAAGATAATACCCCTAATGGTAGCAATCCTAAGGGCTCATTACCACTGTTTTGTTGCTACAATAAATCTTTGGGAGAAGCTTATTATTTTTTAATAATTATTTAAAGATACACAGATCTTGGCTGGGCGCGGTGGCTCACGCCTGTAATCCCAGCACTCTGGGAGGCCGAGGTGGGCGGATCACCTGAGGTCAGGAGTTCGAGACCAGCCTGACCAACATGGAGAAACCCCGTCTCTACTAAAAATACAAACTTAGCTGGGTGGGGTGGCACATGCCTGTAATCCCAGCTACTTGGGAGGCTGAGGCAGGAGAATCGCTTGAACCCAGGGGGTGGAGGTTGCAGTGAGCTGAGATCACGCACCATTGTACTCCAGCCTGGGCAACAAGAGCGAAACTCCATCTCAAAAAAAAAAAAAAATACAAATCTTAAAACAAAAAAGCTTTATTTTGATTTCCTTATTCTTTATTTTATTGTTCAGGTAAGTAGTCTGTAGTAAGAGCAGTTTAGAGATTCTGCAGTGTGTTTCCAACAACCACCAATTCTCTGATTCTACCACATGAACTGGTGTCCTGCTATTCAATGCTATTCTGACACTGACTACCCTGAATTAGTATCAGACTCCACAAGTTTAAGGACTCATTCCTACAAAATTGCCCTCACTTGAGATGCCATTTGCAAGTCCTGGGTCCCCAGGCTTACCCACATTTCTGCCTTCTGTCCAAGCTGGCTATAGATTTTGGGGATGCCAACAATGCCACTCCATGTGATCATTTGCTAGGGTGAGTCATAGAACTTAGGAAAATGCTATACTTGGGATTACAGTTTCATTATAAAGTATACAATTCAGGAACAGCCAAATGGAAGAGAGGCATATGTGGGGAGTAGCGGCAGGGCTCCAGAGCTTCCATCCCCTCTCTGGATACGCCACCTCTCCCAGCACCTTGATGTGTTCACCGAATTGGAATATTCCTTACCCTCAGTTTTTCAGATTTTTGAATTGAAGTTCCATCACTTAGGCATAATTGATTAAATCATTGACTTCTGGTGATTGAGTGTAATGTCTGTCTCCCTTCCCCTCCTAGGAGGTCAGGAAGTGGGACTGAAATTTCCAATCCTCTTATCACTTGGTTGGTTCCTCTGGAGACCAGCCCCCATTCTGAAGCTAGATAGGAGCCTTGTCATCAGTCACCTCATTAGCATAAACTCATTATAGTCAAAAGAATCTTGTTATGAATAACAAAAGACAACCCTGTCACTCAGGAAATTGGGAGGTCAGTGACAGGAACTGGGAACAAAGACCTAATATATGTTTTTATTATACCGCAGACTTAAACATCTGACATGGTAGACTGGATGGTTTGTTTCCCAAGATAAACTGAGAAACATACAACCCAGGTATCAAAAAGGAAAATTGTGGGTGTGGTGGTGTACACCTGTGGTCCCAGTTACTTGGGAGGCTGAGGCAGAAAGATTGCTTGAGCCCAAGAATTCAAGGCTGCAGTGAGCTATTATCATACCACTGTGCTTCAGCCTGGGTGACAGAGTGAGACTCTGTCTCTGAAAAAGAAAAGAAGTTATTTAAAAAGAAAATCTTGGCCAGGCGCAGTGGCTCATGCCTGTAATCCCAGCACTTTGGGAGGCTGAGGCAGGCGGATCACCTGAGGTCAGGAGTTTGAAACCAGTCTGGTCGACATGGTGAAACCCTGTCTCTATGAAAAACACAAAAAATTAGCCGGGCATGATGGTGGGCACCTGTAGTCTCAGCTACTCAGGAGGCCAAGGCAGGAGAATCACTTGAACCCAGGAGGCGGAGGAGGTTGCAGTGAGCCAAGATTGCACCACTGCACTCCATCCTGGGCAGCAGAGTGCAACTCCGTCTCAAAAAGAAAGAAAGAGGAAATCTTGTTTCTCTGGTGTATTAAAGGATTATATAACATGATCAAGAGGAACTTACCCAGGAATGCAAGGGTCAGAACCTGTCAATGTAATACACCATATTAATAGACGACAAAACCATACAGTTATCTCAGTTCACACAGAAAAAACATTTGACAAAATCCAACATTCTTTTATGATTAAAACAGTCAGCCAAACGCAGTGGCTCACACCCGTAAATCCCAGCACTTTGGGAGGCCGAGGCAAGTGGATCACCTGAGGTCAGGAGTTCGAGACCAGCCTGGCCAACATGGTGAAACCTCGTCTCTACTAAAAATACAAAAATCAGCCAGGTGTGATGGCAAACACCTGTAACCCCAGCTACTCGGGAGGCTGAGGCAGGAGAATCGCTTGAGCCCAGGAGGTGGAGGTTGCAGTAAGCCAAGATCGTGCCATTGTGCTCCAGCCTGGGCGACAGAGCAAGACTCTGTCTCAAAAAAAAGTCAACAAACTAGGAATAGCAAAGAACTTCCTTAATCCTGTAAGTGACATCTATAAAAATACCACAGCTATTATTGTACCTGTCCCCTAAGATCAAGAGCATGGCAAGAATATCTACTCTGGCCACTTCTGTTCAACATTATGCTGAGTTCCAGCCAGAGCTAAAAAAAAAAAAAAAAAGAAAGAAAGAAAAAAAGCCATCCAGAGTGAAACAACTATTTATAAATGGTAGAATATTTTATATAGAAAATCCTTAAGAACCCACAAACATATACCCAGAAAACTCTTAGAACTAATAAACAAGTTCAGCAAGGTTACAAGAAATGAGATCAACATATAAAAATCAGCTTTATTTCTGTACACTAGCAATAACCTAAAAATTACATTGAGAATAAATTTCCATTTGTAATAATATCAAAAGGCAAAAAATACTTAGGAGTAAATTTAACCAAAAGAGTGTAAGACTTGAACACAGAAAACCACAAAATATTGTTGAAAGAAATTAAAGATCTAAATAATTAGATAGCCATTATTTGTGAATTGGAAGACAATATTAAGATGGCATTACTACCCAAAGTGATCTACAGATTTAGTGCAATCCCTATCAAAATCCCAATTGCTTTTTTAAAAATTCCCCCCCGTAGAAATTGACAAATTGACCCTAAAACTAATATAGAAAGGCAAGGGACCCAGAGTAGCCAAAATAATCTTGAAAAGGAAGTACACAGTTGTAAGATTTATACTTTCTGGTTTTAAAACTTAACCGCAAAGCCACAATAATCAAAACACTGTGATACTGACATAAGGATAGTCATAAAGATTGATTGAATAGTATTGAGAGTCTAAAAATAAACTCTTACATATATGGTCAGTTGACTTTTAACAAGATGGCTAGACAATTCAATGGGCAAAAGAATAGTCTTTCCAACAAATGGTGCTGGGAAAACTGGCTATCCTTGTGTGGAAGAATGAAAGTTAGACACCTACTTCATACCATACAGAAAAGTTAACTCAAAATGGACCACAAAGGTTGGGTATGGTGACCCACACCTGTAATCCCAACATTTTGGGAGGCCAAGGTGGGTGGGTCGCTGGAGCCCAGGAGTTTGAGACCAGCCTGGGCAACATGGTGAAACCCCATCTCTACAAAAATATACAAAAAAAAAAAAAAAAAATTAGTCGGGTATGGTGGTATGCACTTGTAGTTCCAGCTATCTGGGAGGCTGAGGTGGGATCACTTGAGCCCAGGAGGTCGAGGCTGCAGTGAACCATGATTGCATTACTACACTCCAGCCTGGGCAACAGAGTGAGACTCTGTCTCAAAAAAAGAAAAAAAACCAAAAAGGATCATGGACCTACATGTAAGATCTAAAGCCATGAAGTGGCAAAAGAAAAGAAATGGATAAATTGGGCTACATCAAATTTAAAACCTTTGTGCTTTGAAGGTTCTACCATTTAGAAAGTAAAAAGCCAACCCACAGAATGGAAGAAAAGAGGACAGACTCTAACAAGCGTTCACAAAGATGGAGAGAAATTGTAACCCTCATATATTGCTGGTAGAATTGTAGAAAGATGCAGCTGGTTTGGAAGATATTTTGGCAGTTCTCAAAATGGTTAAACATACAGTTACCTTATGACCAGCAGTTCTACTCTTAGGTATTTACCCAAGAGAATTAACAATATATATCCACAAAAGGTGTACACAAGTATTTATAGCAGCATTGTTCACAATAGCCAAAAAAAAAAACCAGAAACAACCCAAACATCCATCAACTGATGAATGGATAAATAAAATGTGTATATTCATATAAGGGAACATCACTCAGCCATTAAAAGGCATGAAGGACTGATACTTGGTACAGTGTGGGTGAACCTTGAAAACCTTATGAAAGAAGCCAGACATAAAAGGCCTTACATGATTCCCTTTAAATAAAATGCCCCAAATTGACAAAAACATAGAGACAGAAAGTAGATTCATGATTGCCAGGTGCTGGGGGTGATGTTTGGAGAGAAAAGAGTGGTTGCTATGAGTACAGGTTTATAGGGGAGTGATAAAAATATTATAAAGTTAGTAGTGGTGATAGTTGAACTGCCTCGTAAATAACTAAAAAAACACTGAATTGTATATTTTTACAGGGTGAATTTTATGATATGTAAATTATAAACTCAAAACTGTTATTTTTTTAAAAACTGAATTGAGCTTTAATACCTTTCCTTACAATTACAGTTGACCCTTGAACAATGTGGGTTTGAACTACACAGGTAGAGTTGTTATTACTGTTTTTTTTTTTTTTTTTGAGACGGAGTTTTGCTCTGTCGCCCAGGCTGGAGTGCAGTGGCGCCATCTTGGCTCACTGCAGTCTCCGCCTCCCTGGTTTAAGTGATTCTTCTGCCTCAGCCTCCTGAGTAGCTGGGACTACAGGTGCATGCTGCCACGCCCGGCTAATTTTTTTTGTATTTTTTAGTAGAGATGGGATTTCACCATCTTGGTCAGGCTGGTCTGGTCTTGAACTCCTGACTTCGTGATCTACCTGTCTTGGCCTCCCAAAGTGCTGGGATTACAGGCATGAGCCACTGCGCCCCACCAGTTGTTAATATTTTTTAATTAAAAAATATTTTTGAGATGGGTGTCTCACCATGTTGCCCGGGCTGGTGTTAAAACCCTGAGCTCCAATAATTCTCCCATCTCAGCCTTCCTGGTAGCTAGGACTACAGGCATGTGCCACCATGCCTGACTCACAGGTCCACTTAATATACATTTTTTTCAACTAAAGGCAGATTGAAAATATGAATTTTGATACTCACATATAATATAGGTTGGTGTGGAGCCTTCTTTGTATATGTCTGTTTCACAGGGCTGGCTGCAGGACTTGAGTATGCATGGATTTTGATAAAGGAAGTAGGGTCCTGGAACCAATCAGCCATTCCCCATGGAGACTGTATTTCTTTTCTTTCTTTCTGTCTTGTGTTTTTTTTTTTTTTTTTTTTTTTTTTGAGACGCAGTCTTGCTCTGTCGCCCAGGCTGGAGTGCAGTGGCGCTGTCTCAGCTCACTGCAAGCTCTGCTTCCTGGGTTCACACCATCCTCCTGCCTCAGCCTCCCGAGTAGCTGGGACTACAGGCACCCGCCACCGCACCCAGCTAATTTTTTGTATTTTCAGTAGAGATGGGGTTTCAACGTGTTAGCCAGGATGGTCTCGATCTCCTGACCTCATGATCTGCCCACCTCGGCCTCCCAAAGTGCTGGGATTACAGGCGTGAGCCACCACGCCCGGCCTTTTTTTTTTTCTTTTTCTTTTTTTAAGAGAGAGGGTCTTGCTGTGTTGCCCAGGAGGCTGGTCTCAAATTCCTGAGTTAGCTGGACTTCAGGCATGTGCCACTGTGCCACTCTTTGTATTTCTTTAGCAAAAGGAGACAAATACAAGTTTTCTGTTCCTTGGAATAGAGATAAGAAGAATTTATATACTCTTAAATCTGTGTTTTCTGAAGCGTGTTCTACTTTTTAGTAGTATTACTTGGCATATGACATTCTGTGGACAAATACGTTAAATAGGTATTTTTATTCAATTTTTATATGCTTTAGTGTGTTGCGAATGTCCAAGAGGGGGAGTTATTATATGAAGGTTTTGAAACTTGTTGAGGTGAAACTTTACATCAAGGGACAACTCTTGGGATCAGTGTTTTTGAACTAGGCTGGGGATGCAGCGTAAACAACATAAATGATCCCCTACTTAGTGTTAAGAGTTGGGAAGGTCCGGGTGCGGGGGGCTCATGCTTGTAATCCCAGCACTTTGGGAGGCCGAGGCTGGCGGATCACCAGGTCAGAAGATTGAGACCATCCTGGCTAACACGGTGAAACCCCGTCTCTACTAAAATAAGAAAAAAAATTAGCCGGGCATGGTGGCGGGTGCCTGTAGTCCCAGCTACTCAGGAGGCTGAGGCAGGAGAATGGCGTGAACCCAGGAGGCGGAGCTTGCAGTGAGCCAAGGTCGTGCCACTGCACTCCGCTCCAGACTGGGCGACAGAGCGAGACTCCGTCTCAAAAAAAAAAAAAAAACAAAAAAAACAAAAGAGTTAGGAAGTACAAAGTTGTTAACATGTAAATAAAACAAGTACCTAACTAACATAGCCTGGGAGGTGAGAGGAGCGACTTTAAACTGAGACCTGAGGAGATGAGAAGTTACCCAGATAAAGATGGGACTGATAAAAAAGTGCAGTGGATTCCAATTTAAGAGAGATCATATATGTTAATTTACTTTGGGTAACTGGGGAACATAACTACCTTGGCTATAGAGATATTTAGAGAAACGTACTTTGGACCAAATAACTTAGCTTAGGAAGGACAAATCCTTAGGAAACCCAAGTCTCAGATTATTTCTCTAATAGATATAAAAAGATGTTCTTTTTTTTTGAGACGGAGTCTTGCTCTGTTGCCCAGGCTGGAGTGCAGTGGCGCAAATCTCAGCTCACTGCAAACTCCACCTCCCGGATTCAAGTGGTTCTCCTGCCTCAGCCTCCTGAGTAGCTGGGATTACAGGCGTGTGCCACCACGCCTGGCTAATTTTTGTAATTTTAGTAGAGACGGGGTTTCACCATGTTGGTCAGGCCAGTCTCGAACTCCTGACCTCATGGTCCGTCGTCCTCAGCCACCCAAAGTGCTGGGATTACAGGCGTGAGCTACCACGCCGGCCAAAAAGATGTTCTTTTAGCTCCAATTTTTACAAAGTAACGTCCCCTCCTCCCCCTTTTTTTTGAGACCGGGTTTCACTGTTTCCCAGGCTGGAGTGCAGTGGTGTGAACACAGCCCACTGTAGCCCAGACCTCCCGGGCAAATAAGTGCTTTAAAAAAAAACAAAGGCCGGGGGTGGGGTGGGGGTGGGGAATTAACAGGTTCTCATGTACCTAGTCAAATATCAGAACAACTATGAGGCTTATATTTGTGAAATATATATTGGTTTCTGAATGGTTTCATTATTATTAAACTTCAACATCCTTTTAAAGTATTTGTTGTTTCTATTTAATGATAGACAGTGATCTCTAAATCTGTGATTCTCAGTCAAGGACAGTTTTACATTTGTCAATATGTGGAGATATTTTTGGTTATCACAGCTTGGGTACAAGAAGAATGCTAACCCAGAATGCTGACCCAAAATGTCTGTATGGCCGAAGTTGAGAAACCTTGGTCTAAATGCACCTCTCTGTATTAGTACCTTGGGAAAATTAACCATATTTTAAGCTAGTTACAGTCTGCATGTGTGATTCATAGAGATATGTGTCCTCCTGCATAAACATGTCTCTTTATGGATATGTCTGTGTGGTGCAACTACCAATCTTTCTTTGGGTGTTTTTGCCGTAAGTGGTTGTAAACACAATGCGTATCCGACTGAAAAAAGATTA
Source organism: Homo sapiens (assembly GCF_000001405.40). NCBI lineage: Eukaryota > Metazoa > Chordata > Mammalia > Primates > Hominidae > Homo > Homo sapiens. The sequence goes on from NC_000002.12 coordinate 26,118,976, forward strand.
ATGTGCATGTTGGCATAAGAAAATGTATGAGAGAAGTTCTGTGTATTCTGAGTGCTGTTTTATTGGTCCCCTGGCTCAGCAGTGAAGTCTTTAACCTCATCATGCTTGCTGCTTATTGTTAGTAAGATCATCCAAGTAAGGATGTATAGGGCTGTGCACGGTGGCTCACACCTGTAATCCCAGCACTTTGGGAATCCAAGGTGGGAGGATTGCTTGAGTTTAGGAGTTCGAGACCAGCTTGAGCAACATAGCAAGACCTCATCTCTACTAAAAAAGTTTATTTTTTAAAGTCGGATATGGCGGTGAGTACCTGTAGTCCCAGCTATTTGGTAGGCTGAGGTGGGAGGATCACCTGAGCCCAGGAGATCAAGGCTGTAGTGAGCTGATTATAGCAGTGCATTCCAGCCTGGGTGACACAGCGAGACCCTGTCTCAAAAAAAAAATAAATTTTAAAAAGAGTTGTATAATACTATTTTGACCTTTGTCTTAGTTTTTGTGTTTTGTTATTCAAAGAAGTGTATCCCAAGTCTTTTCAGGTCTTAGCTTTGCTTTTTTTTTTTTCTTTTTAAAGACAGGGTCTCACTCTGTCAGGTTAGAGTGCAGTGGCACAATCACAGCTTACTGCAGCCTCTACCTCCTGAGCTCAAGCTATCCTCCCAGCCTAGCCTCCCAGGTACCTAGGACCACAAGCGTGCTATATCATGTCTGGCTAATTTTTATTTTTGTGGTGATGGGGTCTTACTGTGTTGCCCTGGCTGGCCTCAAATTCTTGGGCTCAAGCAATCTTCCTGCATTGGCTTCCCAGAATGTTGGGATTATACACATGAGCCACTGTGCCCAGCAGGCTTACTTTCAAATATATTTTTGAGCTAGAATTATATTTATGCTCTGAAATGGTACACATGTATAAAGAATTATACCTATTTCCTCACTAGCCCCAGAATACTGATGTGAGTTGGCGTGGAGGTGTAGTAGGTTGTAAATTGGTGGTCTGATTGCTAAAGCTTTTTTAAAAAACAGGCTGAAAATATCTTAACACTTATAAATTTATATATAAGGTAATTTTCCCTTTTTTATACTTCATTGATCATTTATTTATTGGCTTCGGCTTCGTTCCATCAGCCTGCTTGCACCTAACTTACAGGTGTTCTTAGTAGAACAGTGACTTCTAAAGCTACAGATAATTTATCTTCTCTTTGAGTGGAGGTTCATGTTAGTGGCTCTGGTAACTTGCAGTGTTTAGGATGTGGGTAGATTATTACAGGTCACTGTGATAATTTGTCCATTTAGCAGCTGGGAGCTTTTAAAACCATGCTTCTGTACTTCTTTGGGATCATGGACCCCTTTGAGAAATTAGAATCTTACCAGAATGATGTACTTATACAACTTGCAAAGTTTTATGTGTGCTCCTTGGAATTATTGATGTCCCCGAAGTCCATCCTTAGATTCTGAGATCAAAATGCCTCTTACTTTTAGCACATGGCAGGATTTTAGGAGCACCTGGTATATTGCTGCTTATTACTGGATATTTGCCAAGTTGCCTTTGTTTTAGCAGTAACATAAATTAAGAGGCACTAAATTCAGATAAGACCATGGAATCCCTAAATAGGGAGTTTCTTTTTTTTTTTTCTTGAGACGGAGTCTCGCTCTGTTGCCCAGGCTGGAGTGCAGTGGTGCTATCTTGGCTCACTGCAAGCTCTACCTCCCGGGTTCACACCATTCTCCTGCCTCAGCCTCCTGAGTAGCTGGGACTACAGGGCGTCCATCAACACACCCAGCTAATTTTTTGTATTTTTAGTAGACACGAGGTTTCACTGTGTTAGCCAGGATGGTCTCAATCTCCTGACCTCGTGATCCGCCCGCCTCGGCCTCCCAAAATGCTGGGATTATAGGCATGAGCCACCGCATCCAGCCAGCGAGTTTCTTTATAGTATATTATAATTTTTTTTTTCCCGAGACAAAGTCTTGCTCTGTCACCCAGGCTGGAGTGCAGTGGTATCATCTCAGCTCACTGCAACCTCCACCTCCTGGGTTCAAGTGATTGTCCTGCCTCAGCCTCCCAAGTAGCTGAGATTACAGACGTGCATCGCCACACCCGGCTAATTTTAGTAATTTTAGTAGAGACAGGGTTTTGCCATATTGGCCAGGCTGGTCTCGAACCCCTGACCTCATGTGATCCACCCACCTCAGCCTCCCAAAGTGCTGGCTTTACAGGCGTGAGCCACCACATGCGGTATAATTTTTCTTTGTTAAGCTTGTGATTCTACTAAGGGTATCGTCCTTGCAACAAAAGAGTTGTTTCCTCCCTAATCCCACCTTTGTCTACCCCCTTTTAAACTGTCATTGACCCTTGAACTGCAGGTTCACTTACACATGGATATTTTTGTTTAAAGAGATGGGGACTCGCAGTGTTGCCCAGGCTGGTCTCAAACTCCAGGGGTCAAGTGATTCTTCCTTCTCAGCCTCCCAAGAAGCTGGGATTACAGGTGTGTGCCACCACACCCAGCTCTATAAACAGGTTTTTAAAAACAAATCTTTTGGAAAAAATGTTAGAGACTTGCAACAACTTGAAAAACTCACAGACAAGCCACATAACCTAGAAATATTGGGCGGGGGGGAAATTAAGAAAAAGTTAAGTATATTATGAATGTCTAAAGTATATGTAGATACTAGTCTATTTTATTACTACCATAAAACATACACAGATCTATTATTAAAAGTTTAAATTTATTAACACTCAAACACACAGAGCCCATACAAGGCACCTTTTGCATCAAGAGAAATGTAACAGAGATGCAGTATTAAATCATAATTGCATAAAAATAACTAATACATACTGTACTACTGTGATAATTTTGTAGCCACCTCCTGTTGCTATTTTGGTGAGCTCGTATGTTTCCAAGTGTCTGCTTAAAACACCATGTGATGTGGATCATCTCCCCGTGAACAGTTTGTGTCTCCAGTAAATCCCATATTGCAATCAAAAGAGGTCTTTTGTGGTTCTTGCGTGTTTTCATCGTGTCTAGTGCAATACCATAAACCTTGAATAACACCATCAGACCTATACAAAGTGCCACTAGTGATGCCAGAAGCAATCCTGAGAAACAGAAAAGTCATGACATTACAAGAAAAAATTGAATTGCTTAATATGTACTGTAGAATGAGGTCTGCAGCTGTGGTTGCCCGTTATTTCAAGATAAATTAATCCAGCATAAGGACCATTTTAAATAAAAGAAAATTTGTGAAGCCATCACTGCAGCCACAGCAGGAGGTGTGAAACCTTGCACTTTTTACAGAATACCTTTTTATCTCATGTTGAAAATGCAGCTCTTATGTGGGTACAGGATTGCTATAAGAAAGGCATACTTGTAGGCTGGGCGCGGTGGCTCACGCCTGTAATCCCAGCACTTTGGGAGGCCAAGGCGGGCAGATCACGAGGTCAGGAGATCGAGACCATCCTGGCTAACACGTTGAAACCCCGTCTCTACTGAAAATACAAAAAATTAGCCAGGCGTGGTGGCGGGCGCCTGTAGTCCCAGCCACTCGGGAGGCTGAGGCAGGAGAATGGTGTGAACCCGGGAGGCAGAGCTTGCAGTGAGCTGAGATCACACCACTGCACTCCAGCCTGGGCGACAGAGCGACTCTGTCTCAAAAAAAAAAACAAAAAAAAAGGGCATACTTGTAGACTATGATATTCAAGAAAAAGTGAAGTTATTATATGACAACTTAAAGCAAAACGGAAGAGAAGCTAGAGGAGTTAATGCCAGCAAAGAATGGTTTGATAATTTTAGAAAGAGGCTTGGCCTAAAAATGGCAGGCTAACAGGAGAAGCAGCTTCTGCTGACTAAGACACAGCAGACAAGTTCCTGGGCACCGCTGAACAAGTCTTTAATGCAGTTAAAAGTGTCCTATTCTCGGGGTGGCAGGGAGGGGGGCAGGCCACAAAGGACATGAGTGTTAGGAAAAGAAGAAAGCACAGGGAATTAAGGCAGGAAGGGATAGGCTAACTACTGTTCTGTGCAAATGCAATTGGGTTTATGATCAGGACTGACTGCCCTTACGTATAAAGTTGCTAACCCCCAAGACCTGAAGGGAAAAGTCTTTTGAAGCTGCCAGTTTTTTGATCATTCAACAAGAAGACCTGAACACTGAGAATCCTTTTTCTGGATTGGTTCCATCAATACTTTGTCCCTGAAATCAGGAAATACCTTGCCATTATGGGACAGCCCTTTAAAGTTCTTTTGATGTTGGACAGTGCCCCTGGCCACCCAGAACCCCATGAGTTTAACACCGAAAACATTGAAGTGGTCTACTTGCCCCCGAACACAGTCTCTAATTCAGCATCTAGATCAGGGGATCATGAGGACCTTTAAGGTTAATAACACACGGTACTCTAACCTCAATAGAACATCATGAAAATCTGGAGGAATTACACCGCTGAAGATGCCATCGTTATAGAAAAAGCCATGAAAGCCATCAAGCACAAAACAGTAACTTCCTGCTGGAGAAAACTGTGTACCGATGTTGAGCATGATTTCACAGGATTTGTAGCAGAGCCAGTCAAGGAATTTATGAAAGAGACTGTGGATAAGACAAGAGCTAATAGACATCAACCAGAGGAATCAACAGAAGATGATTTAATGAAGATGCCGGTGCTTCCAAACCAGCGTTGGACGATAAGGAAGAAGGCAAAGAAGTAGTGCCAGAAAACAAATTGACTGTAGACAATCTGGCAGAAGGGTTCTGATTATTCAAGACTGCTTTAGACTTACTGTACAACATGGACCATTGTGTGATACAGGCACTGAAACTGAAGCAAATGATGAAAGAAGGATTGGTTTTGTATAGAAATATTTTTAAAGAAATGAAAAAGCAAAAAAGAAATTACAATGTTTTTCCGTAAAGTTAAACTGAGTGTGCCTGCCTCCCCTTCCACCTTCTCTACCTCTTCTGCCTCTGCCTTCCCTGAGACAGCAAGACCAACCCCCTCCTCTTTCTCCTCCTCAGCCTACTCAATTTGAAGACATTGAGGATGAAGACCTTTATGATGATCCACTTCCACTTAATGAATAGTAAATATATTTTTCTTCCTTATGATTTTCTTAATAACATTTTCTTTTCTCTAACTTTATGGTAAGAATACAGTATAGAATACATATATAAAATATGTTAATCGACTGTTACTGATAATACTTCTGGTTAGCATCAGGCTGTTACTAATTAAGTGTTTGGGGAGTAAAAGTTATACATGGTATACCCTTACCCCCATTGTTCAAGGGTCAACTGTATGTTGTTTTAAATCAGCATATTTTATAACTTTCCTAGTTTTTTTTTTTCTTATAGCTACAGGAAATGAAGTAACCGCAGCCATTTGGCAGTTTTGTTGCTGTTGTTTTTCTTATTGTTGTTGTTGCTTTTTTTTTTTTTTTTTTTTTTTTTTTTGAGACAGGTTCTTGCTTTGTTGCCCTGGCTGGAGTGCAGTGGCAGTGATAATAGTTCACTCCAGCCTTGAGCTCTTGGGCTCAAGTGCTCCTCCTGCCTCAGCTTCTTAAAGTGTTGGGATTACAGGCATGAGCCCCCGTGCTCAGCCTATTGTTGTTTTTGAATACTTTTTAAAATTGTGGTGAAATACATACAACATGAAATTTTCATTTTAACTATTATTTTGGTGTATAGTTCAGTGGTGTTAAGTACATTCTACTGTTGTGCAACCGTCACCACCATCCATTTCCAGAACTTTTTCATCTTTCTGAACTCAAGCTTTGCATCCATTAAACAATGATTTCTGTCTCCCCCTTTCCCCATCTCCTGGCAACTGTCACCATTCTATTTTCTATGAATTTGACTGTTATAGGTACCTCATATAAGTGGAATCATATAGTATTTGTTCAATTTGTAAGTAATTTACTTCATTTAACATAAAGTTTTCAAGGTTCATCTACATTGTAGCATGTGTCAGAACTTGTTTATTTTTTGAGGCTGAATAATATTCCATTGTTTTTATATGCCATGTTCTGTTTATTCATTCACCCATTGTTGGATATGTGGGTTGTTTTCACCCTTTTACTATTGTGAATAATGTTGCTGTGAACACTGGTGTACAAATATCTGAGTCCCTGCTTTAAATTCTTCTGCGTGTATACCCATGAGTGGAATTGCTGGATCATATGATAATTCTGTGTGTAACCTTTTGAGGAATCACCAGACTTTTCCACAGTGATTGCACCATTTTACATTCCTACCAACAGTACACAAAGGTGTCGGTTTCTCCACATCCTCGCCAATATGTGTTTTCTGTTTTTTTAATAGTAGCCATACTAATGGGTATGTAGTGGTATCTCTCATTGTGGTTTTTGATTTGCATTTCCTAATCTTAGTGATATTGAGCATCTATTCATGTGCATATTGTTTGTTTGTATATCTTCTTTGAAGAAATGTCTATTCAAATCCTTTGCTTGCTTTTTTTTTTTTTTTTTTTTAAATTTTTTCCAGACAGGTTCTTGCTCTGTTCCCCAGGCTGGAGTACAGAGGCATGATGATCATGGCTCACTGCAGCCTCAACTTCCCAGGCTCAAGTGATTCTCCTACCACAGCCTCCTAAGTAGCTGGGACTACAGGCACACACCACCGTGCCTGGCTAATTTTTAAATTTTTTGTAGAGATGAGGTCTCACAGTGTTACTCAGGCTAGTCTCGAACTCCTGGGCTCAGGCAATTTTCCTGACAGCCTCCCAAAGTGCTGTCATTTTTTGTTGTTGTTAGGAGTTTTAGGTGTTTTTTATATATTCTAGGTATTATTCCCTTTCAAATACATGATTTACAAATATTTCCTCCTTTTTGTGGGTAGTCTTTTCATTCTCTTGATAGCGTCCTTTGTTGCACAGTAGTTTTTAACTTTGATGAAGTACAGTTTAACTACTTTTTCTTTTATTGCCTGTGCTTTTGGTATCATGTCAAAGAAACCATTGCCAAATCCAGTGTCCTGAAGCTTTTCCCTATGTTTTCTTCTAAGAGTTTTATAGTTTGAGGTCTTTGATCTAGTTCAAGTTAATTTTTTTATATGGTTTAAAATAAGGATCCAGCTTCATTGTTTTGCATGTGGATATCTGGTTTTCCTAGTGCTATTTATTGAAAAGACTGTCCTTTCCCTATTGACTGATTTTGGCATCCTTGTCGAGGGTCATTTGACTAAGTATGTGAGGATTTATTTCTGGGCTCTCTATTCCATTCCATTAGTCTGTGTATCTGTCTTTATGCCAGTTCCACACTTTTTGATTTGCAGTAAGTTCTGAAATTTGACTCCCCCAGCTAATATTATTTTGGCTGGGCTCAGTGGCTCATGCCTGTAATCCTAGCTCTTTGGGAGGCCGATGGGGGTGGATCACTTGAGGCCAGGAGTTCGCGATCAGCCTGGCCAACATGGCAAAACCCCCCATCTCTACCAGAAAACTACAAAAATTAGCTGGCATGGTAGTACACACACCTGTAGTCCCAGCTACTCACAGCTACTCAAGAGGCTAAGGCAGGAGAATCGCTTGAACTCGGGAGGCGAAAGTTGCAGGAAGCCCAGATCACACCACTGCACTCCAGCCTGGGCAACAGAGCAAGGCTCTGTCTCAAAAAGAGAGATTCTTTTGATGTTAGATTCCATATGAATTTTTGGATAGATCTTTCTATTTCTGCAAAAATTGTCATTGGGATCTTAAGGGGACAACCACTTGTTTTTAACTGATTTTTCTGCATGGACCTCCTTGTGCCATAGCAGCACAGCTATTTGAGAGTTTAAGGCTCTATAAAATGTTTAATTAAGGCTTCTATAGGGTAGTATGCATTATAAAATCTGAAATGATCCAGCCTGGATTTAGATTATGCAAGTTTCTTTGCTTGTATCTTCTCTTTTGGTAAGAAAGAACATACCTAGAAAGTAGACAGCCTCCTTTAGGGAGGAAATAGTATTTGACATGGATATGTCTTGGGAATTGCGTTTCTTTTGCTAGGTAATCTAAGAATTTGTGTAGGCTTTTAGTATGGAGTAGTTTTAGGGTGACTGCTTTAAAACTTCAAAGCTATAGAAATGACCCTCTAAATTGAGAGAATAAAGTCACTTTTAAAGACTGTTAAGCCGTAATTCATGGTAGTATGTAAAAGTAAAATTTTATTTCATTTTAGCATGCCAATGAAGATGTGGAAAGAATGTTACTAGGAAACAAGTGTGATATGGACGACAAAAGAGTTGTACCTAAAGGAAAAGGAGAACAGGTAAAAATCTGAATTAAACTGATACTCTGCTCTGTCTTTGTAAAGGTAATGCTACTTTTGATTATTTTTATAGTAATAGTGATCGAACACACTAAGCTAATTACATAGTTTTTAAAATGCTTGTTGGAAATAATATTTTATCATTTGAGTGAATTTTTTTTCAGTGCATATTTAACATGTATGGGAGAATCAAATGTGCCCATAGTATTTTTAGCCTTATTTAAACTACAAAGAGAGAAAAATATAAGTCATTAATCCTCGGTTTTTAAACTTAGGACTTTAAGGAAATGTATCAATTAGTATGGTTCTAAAATGTGACAATCAGGAGCCTATGGTGAGCAGAAATTAGACCCTGAGGAGTCAGGTTGAGCTTCTCATAAGTTTGCCCCCAGTGTGAAGTATCTGACTTAGAATATCTGAAATAAACTTTTGGGGTAAGGAGATTACTTTTCTTTTGTTTGTTTTATGAAAGAGCTTGACTTGCTGAAATATTCTGTGTTATATATTCTAGTTGGGACCACTGCCTTCAGAATAAGATTAATATTTAAGCTGTTAAAGTCAGCAGTTGGCAACCCATGCTTGATAATTTTATGATGATATTTTGTTTCTGTTTTAGATTGCAAGGGAGCATGGTATTAGGTTTTTTGAGACTAGTGCAAAAGCAAATATAAACATCGAAAAGGCGTTCCTCACGTTAGCTGAAGATATCCTTCGAAAGGTAAGTTCCTGTTTTTATATCCTGCCAGGTACCTGAGTATCTCTGTTGAATATTTTGTCTATTCTGAAGTACTGGATTTACATACAGAATTTGAGTTTGGGTGGTATTGTTTCTGTAGGGCAGCAGTCCCCAGCCTTTTTGGCACCAAGGACTGGTTTCATGGAAGATAATTTTTCCATGGACCGTACTGGGGGGTAGTTTCACCCAGAAACTACCCCACCTCAGATCATCAGGCGTTAGATCCTCCTAAGGAGCACGCAACCTAGATCCCTTGCATGTGCAGTTCACAGTGGGGTTTGCACTCCTATGAGAATCTAATGCTATCACTGATCTGATGGGAGGCGGAGCTCAGGTAATAATGCTCACTCACTTGCTGCTCACCTCCTGCTGGGTGGCCCCGTTCTTAACAGGCCACGGACCGGTAAGAGTCCACAGCCCCGGGGTTGGGGACTTGTGCTATAAGGAACTGGGGAAACAGAAAGCCATCTAGAAATCTGAAGGATCTAGTCAGTGGTAACCATTAATATTCTGAGCTCCACAGTCACTGTCTAGTCCCTAGTTCAATTATTTTTTCCAGCTTTTTGTCTTTTCTAGCCTTTTTACTCTTGGACTCATTTCGCTTAATGAGTACTTTGCATTCTCAAAGATAATTTAGGAAATTTTAAGAAATGAATCTATTAAGTAGTTATTGCCACAGAATTGCTATTCTGCCATATTAGTCACTTCTCAGGCAAATAAAGGGCGTGTACATATTCTGTACGTACTGAATAAAACCTATTATGTAAGAAAATAAATAATGCTGAAAATGTGATCTTGGGGAATTTATATTTTACCTCAGGTTTGTTTCTGGGTTTAAGATTTGTGACTCTCAATATTTGCTAGTGTAAGTAACATGTAGTCAAATTAGGAAATCGGATTTTCGTATTTTCCCTCGAGTGAATAGGTATAATGCATGGATTTGGTTATGAGTCCTGAATTCTCTGTTCAATCTGTTGAAATTTTAAATGCAAATAAATACAGATAAAATCTGACATACATTGGCCAGGCGCGGTGGCTCACGTCTATAATCCCAGCACTTTGGGAGGCTGAGGCGGGTGGATCACGAGGTCAGGAGATGAGACCATCCTGGCCAACACGGTGAAACCCCATCTGTACTAAAAATACAAAAATTAGCTGGGTGTGGTGGCACGTGCCTGTAATCCCAGCTTCTTGGGAGGCTGAGGCAGAAGAATCCCTTGAACCAGGGAGTCAGAGGTTGCAGTGAGCCGAGATCACGCCACTGCATGCCAGCTTGGGGACAGACCAAGACTCCATCTCAAAAAAAAAAAAAAAAAAAAAAAAAAAAATCTGACACACATCCTAAAAGAGAAGCAGATGTTGTATAGGAGAAAATGTAATTACATTTGGTAACCTTTCTATTTTTATATTTGAAATATTAATATATTTTTCTAAAACCAACCTATACATAAAAGGTAGATGTTTGTTTTTAAATTTTCTTAACCAACCAGTTTTCTTTCTCCACTTTGGAAGGACAGAGACATTAGCTGTAGTAGAGGTGGTATGTCACATATAAATCTAGTGAAATTTCTGAGCAATTATAAGAGATTGAGTTGAGATATTTACATTGAAGTAAATTATATAGAGGCATTAAAACTAAGGGACCTAATTTTTAGAGTGAAATGTAGGTATCTGTTTACTACAATTGAATATTCAAACTGGAAAAAACAGTCATCAGTTATTGCTCTTCAATGGGACTAAAAAATTGGTGCCCTTTTGAGTCTGCCAGCTTCCTTGCATATCATATTTTGGGATTTCCTGCTTTAGGAGATGTTTTTCTATGAGAATCCAGTCAGATCAAAAATTGAATTTTATTTCAGAGAATGAGAGAGGCTGACAGCAATTAAAATAAGTATAAAAGATCTCCATAGTGTATTGAGTGATAAAAAGCAAATTAGGATATAATATGTGAAGTGATCTCATTTTTCAAGATTATATGATACCAAACATACATATGTACACGCAGATACATTTTGTTATTTTTAGCAACTAGAGAACTGGAAGGGTAGATACCAAAGTCTAAATAGCACTCCAAGAGAGTGATGGTGGTAAGGGGGACGGATCATAGGGCAGATTCATTTACCGACTATAGGCAGTTTAGTTTTGAAATTTCAACAGCTTTCTTTTTTGAATTATAAAAACAATTTTAAGATTTTTTTTGAAAGAATAGTCTTTCACAATTGAGTTAAGGTGAAACCCATTAGAATTTCTTGAGAAAATAAATCTATATTATTTATTGTTCTTTTGAAGAGCAAAAGAATAGAAGAATACAACTAGGAAAAAATGTGTTTCTTTCTTTCCTTTTTTTTTTCTTTTTGTGACAGGGTCTCACTGTGTTTCCCAGGCTGAAGTGTAGTGGCTGTTGGCAAGTGTGATCATGCTGGCCATAGCCTCAAATTCCTGGCCTCCAGTGATACACTAGTAGCTGGGACCACAGGGGTATGCCATCAAGCCTGGCTTGGTCTCTCTCTTTTTTTTTTTTAATTGATGGGGTCTGACTATGTTGCCCAGGCTAGATTTGAACTCCTGGGCTCAAGCCATCCTCCTGCTTCAGCTTTCTGAGTAGCTAGGACCACGAGGACACATCACCATCCCTCACTAATTTTCAGATTTTTTGGTAGAGATTGGGGGTGTCTCACTGTTTTGTCCAGGCAGGTCTTGAACTCATGGCCTCAAGTGATCCTCTCACCCTGGCCTCCTGAATTGTTGGAATTACAGGTGTGAGCCACGTGCCAAAAATTGTATTTTTAATTAAATGAAGGGAATAAAAGAAATAGAAAAATGCTTGTTTTAAACTTGGTGGAAGGTACTTTGTATTTCAGACATTAATGGGTCAGGATGAAACATTATCCAGTATTCACAATCGAGTTAAAGACCAGGATAAGACTGGCAGGAGTTACTGCAAGACCTAGTGAAACGCTCTTGTCTCTGTGTCCTTTCTCTTTCTGGGCTTTTTGGTCTTCGTGGTTTCTGCTTACTTTCTGTCTATACTATGTCCTTTGATCTTCTCATCAGTCTTGGCTTTTTTTTTTTTTTTTGAATAGTGCTATATAGCCATTATATATATAATTTTGTGCCCCAGTGAGATAGAGCTTTCCTTATTATCATTATTAAAGGTTAAAGTATGAGTATACTATTAAATAAAGATCTCAGTCTAGACTTGCAGGGGTGTCCAATCTTTTGGCTTCCCTGGGCCACAGTGGAGAAGAAGAATTGTCTTGGACCACATATAAAATACACTAATACTAACCATAGCTTGTACGCTAAAGAAAAAAAAATCACACACAACAAATCTCATCATGTTTTAACAAAGTTTACGAATTTGTTGTATTGGGCTGTGTGCAGGCTGCAGGTTGGACAAACTTGGTCTAGAGTTTTCCCCAAGTAAGCAGGCCCAAATACTAGGTAGCAATTTTTTTTCATACACATCCATACACTTAGATGTGGTGAAGTTGTGAGTTAAAACAGCAAATGTAAACTTCCTTCACATTAGAATTAACTTAAAATGAAAGCAATTTAAAACATCTTTTAATTTAATTATTTGGCTACATGATTCATTCTCTTGCTTCAAACATTTTAAAAGGAGAAAAAAAAAGGATACAGAAATTTCCCACCTTGTTCCCTTTAATTCCCTCAATGTTACCAATTCCTCATTTCCCCCTTACTCCCCAGGTAACTGATGTAATTAATTTATCAGTTATTACTCTGAGTAAATATGAATATATATTTTTGTCCCACCCCACCCCCACAACCTTTTCTTTTTAACAGATGAGGTAACATACTCCACTGATTGTCACTTTGCTTATTTCACTTACTATAAGCAAAATAATTTTACTTTTTAAATAATTACATGCTATTCCTTTGATTGTTTATATCATAATTGAACAAGTCTCCCAGTGAGGGACATTTAGATTATTTTCAAACTTATGTGCACATTAACTGTGTGTGTAGTACATAATCTTGTATTTAAATTATTTTCCACACGCACATACATTTGAAGGACAGATTCTGAGAACTGGCCAAAGAGCGTACATGTATGTACATTTGCAATTTTGATAAATACAGCCAAAGTCTGTCCTGAGGGTTATACCCATTTACACACCCACTTGCAGTATATGAGAATATGTGTTATTCACACCCTGGTCAGCACAGTGGATTTACAAGACTCAGATCTTTCCCAGTCTAACAGGTTAAAAAATGTAGATTTAATTCGCAGGTAATTTCTGAGTAAGGCTGAGCATTTAAAAACATTTGTTTGTTTTGAGACGGAATTTTGCCCTTGTTGCCCAGGTTGGAGTGCAGTGGCATGATCTCGGCTCACTGCAGCCTCTGCCTCCCAGGTTCAAGAGATTCTCCTGCCTCAGCCTCCCAAGTAGCGGGGATTACAGGAGCCCGCCACCACGCCTGGCGAATTTTTATATTTTTACTAGAGACAGGGTTTCAACATATTGGCCAGACTGGTCTCGAAGTCCTGACCTCAGGGATCTGCCCACCTTGGCCTCCCAAAGTGCTGGGATTACAGGCGTGAGCCACCACGCGTGACCTGAAAACATATGTTTAAGAATCACTTTTACATTTCCTTTTCTGTAGTATTTTTGTTTGTTTATTCCTTTGCCCAATTTTTCTATTTGGTTATTGGCCTTTTCTTATTCTTAGCTAGGAGCCAGCCTAAAACTTTTAATAAACTTAATTAAAACTCAACTTCAACTTAATAAATATTTTGGCTGTAAAAGATTTTGCTCCGCAAGAGATACCCCCCCCCCTTTTTTTTAAATCTGTTTCAAGGATCTAAGTTAAATTCTAAAAAGATAAGAAAATCAGTTGTAGGAGCCTCCCTGGTTGTCTTTAACCTGACTCATACCTGGAAGTTCCCAGAGAGAGAGTATTTTCAGTGCAACTGTACTTTTTTTTCTTGCTGGATGCTGGTCTGCCCCTTTTTCTTCTTTACATTTTTCTCAAAGATCTGTATTAGGAGCAAAGTCACTTGTACTGGAAACCCCACAGAGGTCTTTTTAATGCATAATTTGCTGCTTTAACATACATGGAGGAGAAGAATCCCAATTAGGCAGTGGGAGTAAGTAGGAGAGCTCTAAGGGCAAGTAGCAGTGTCACTTCAGTATGAGTTAACTAGGCTTGTCTTAGGCTACTTGAGGTTTTAAAATATTTTTAAAATATTTTAATTTTTTCCCTCTTGGGCTACAAAAGCCCTTAACTTTATATTGTTTCCATGAGAGAATAAGTTCTCAGGTACGTCCTAGCTTTCAAAATGTTGTGATGAACTACTGTTCTATACAATAGCATCGATAAATCTCAAAGACTGATACTGAGTGAAAGAAGCCACAGAGAAGAATATATTCAACTATGGTTCCATGTATATGAAGGTTAGGAATAGAAAAAAACTAATCTTAGATGATAGAAATCAGAATATTGGGTAACTTGAAGAGAGCAGTACTGGCAGGAAAGGGGCACAAGGGAGCCTTCTTGGGAGTATTATGTTCTATATCCTGATCTGGTAGTTTGACAATATATACTAAAAATATATCAGGCTTACACTTAAGCTTTATGTACTTTTCTGTATGTAAGGTATCACTTTAAAAATATTTTTAATATATAAAAATGGGCCTACCCTTTTAAAATACTGTATTCTGATTTTTTTTTCTTTTTCTTTTTCTTTTTATTTTTTGAGATGGAGTCTCACTCCGTCGCCCAGGCTGGAGTGCTGTGGCGGGATCTTGACTCACTGCAACCTCTGCCTCCCGAGTTCAAGCGATTCTCCTGCCTCAGCCTCCCGAGTAGCTGGGATTACAGACGTGCAACACCACACCCAGCTAGTTTTAGTAATTTTAGTAGAGACAGGGTTTTGGCATGTTGGCCAGGCTGGTCTCGAACTCCTGACCTCAGGTGATCCACCCGCCTCGGCCTCCCAAAGTGCTGGGATTACAGGCCTCAGCCACGACACCCGGCCCTTCTGATTTTCAAAGTAATATTTAGTGTTGGGAAAAAGCAGAATTATACTAAGAATAAAATTAAATCAACCATAATTTTACCACCTAAGGGTTGCTACTGTTAGTATTTTGTTGTATCTCCTTTGGGGTTTTTCGGTGTTTTTAGAGGAGTTGGGAGGAGTCTTACTCTCTTGGTCTGTTGCACAGGCTGGAGTGCAGTGGAGTGATCATAGCCCACTGCAGCCTTGAACTCCTGGGCTCAAGTGATCCTCTTGCCTCAGCCTCCTGAGTAGCTGGGACTACAGGCTTGAGCCACTGTGTCCAGCTAATATTTTAAATTTTTTATACAGATGGGGGTCTTGCTGTGTTGCCCAACGTGGTTTTAGCTCCTGGCCTCAAGTGATCCTCTCACCTTGGCCTCTGAAAGTGCTGGGATTACAGGCGTGAGGCACTGTGCTCAGCCATCTATATCCATTTTTAACATGAATTAGATAACTACATTTTGCTCCACTCCTTTTCACTTAATCAGTTGAGGTTGCCTTTTTAAAACTATGATACAGTAATAAAATTGGTCTAAAAAGGCAGATAACAGAAAAGGGCAGTTTTATTTCTGTGACGTTACATATACCTAACACTGGTTTCATACAACTTGCTCCACAATGCCTTTTAAGTACTAAACATATTCAGAGGTCAGGGCTAGAAGATAACAAAATCTATTTAAGAGTTAGAGCTGAGAAGATTTCAGAAGCTTTATAAAGGCATGCCAGGAAATGTCTACAATATTTCACAGCTTGGAGGAAGCAGGCAAAAAGAAAATCAAAACAAAGCTTCCAAATCTTTACTTTGCACGGAGGGGAAACCTATCTCCTGTGATTGTAGTTGTATTTTGTTGTATAAATTGACATAAGAATATTCCTGTTGAATCGTGATTTTATCCATGGCAGTGTTTTTTCATGAGTTATTTTCCTTGTGTGTTTGTTGCAGACCCCTGTAAAAGAGCCCAACAGTGAAAATGTAGATATCAGCAGTGGAGGAGGCGTGACAGGCTGGAAGAGCAAATGCTGCTGAGCATTCTCCTGTTCCATCAGTTGCCATCCACTACCCCGTTTTCTCTTCTTGCTGCAAAATAAACCACTCTGTCCATTTTTAACTCTAAACAGATATTTTTGTTTCTCATCTTAACTATCCAAGCCACCTATTTTATTTGTTCTTTCATCTGTGACTGCTTGCTGACTTTATCATAATTTTCTTCAAACAAAAAAATGTATAGAAAAATCATGTCTGTGAGTTCATTTTTAAATGTACTTGCTCAGCTCAACTGCATTTCAGTTGTATTATAGTCCAGTTCTTATCAACATTAAAACCTATAGCAATCATTTCAAATCTATTCTGCAAATTGTATAAGAATAAAGTTAGAATTAACAATTTTATTTTGTACAACAGTGGAATTTTCTGTCATGGATAATGTGCTTGAGTCCCTATAATCTATAGACATGTGATAGCAAAAGAAACAAACAAAAGCCAGGAAAACACTCATTTTCGCCTTGAATATGTAAATGGGATTAATTTTGTCCTGTGCCTTATGTGGAAAGGAACTTCTTTGGTTTTCCTTTTTTGTTCTGGTGGAAGCATGTGCAGGAGACATATCATCCAAACATAAACCATTAAAATGTTTGTGGTTTGCTTGGCTGTAATTTTCAAAGTAGTTAATTGAGGACAAAGGGTAATGCAGAAGTGATAGCTTTGGTTTGCTGAGTCTTGTTTTAAGTGGCCTTGATATTTAAAACTATTCCTGCCACCATTTCTTCTCCTTGGCCACTTCTTCCTTGCGTCTCCCTGCATGCTGCTTTATTTGCTTCTCCCTCCCCAACCACCTCATGGTATATTTAAGAGTGAAAGGGACAAACTAGTAGGTTTGTCAAGTTTAATATAAAGCACTGATGTAACTTGCTAGGTAAACGGAAAGATAAGTTCTAACTGCCTACTATCCAATGTCAGTTAATTGGTGTCTTCCCCCCTCATTTGCTCTCTTCCCTAAAATGTGTCCCAGATGCCTTCATTTGCTGTTTTACTTCTATGTTCTGCTTTTCCTCCTCTCTTTGTTCCCTTCCTGTCTATCCATTGAGTTTATGAAATGGAAGAGTTAACTGCATGCACTAGTGTTTGGAGGGTGTTGTGGTTTGTCTTTCTAATTAGGTGTATAGCCTATTCACTTTCCTAGAATAAATCTCTTAACCTAAATTTGAGTAGTCTGCATTTTGGCAACTCCTCTAGCAGCTTGGTAGCCTAGTACAGGTTGTTTTTTTAAAAAAGGAAAAGCAGGAAGGAGGAGTGAATTTTATTAACATGTTTGCCAAATGTATTGAGATTTGGCCTCTGAAGAACACTTTTTCAGTGTTAAGTTTCTTTACCTTAAGATTCAGAAATACTTTAGAATATTATTAATTTTAAGTCCTGTCTTTACATCCTTTTGGAAAACTTGTATTACCATGGGTTTGGAAAAAGGACAACGAAAGGCTTTTCATGTAAAGATAAGATCTTTAGCTATCTCTAACCCTGTCCTTTTTTCACTGCATTTTTTCTAGTTTTGCTTCATTGCTTATCATTAGGATAGGGTAAGTGAAGTTTGCTATGCTGCTAGCATCCTAAGATGATACCTTTGTTGAAAGAATTGTGAATAGCATGATTCATTTCTAGCAGAGGCTGAGTTTAGGACAGCAGCTTCCATTGAGAAGTCTTTCTGTGTCGTGAATAGCATTTTAATGACCTCTTGGCTCACATAAGCAAACAACATAGGGACGTATCTGCTATGAAAATCCACAAATTTTTCAGATAGTGCCCTAAAAACAATTTTATATGCCTCACTGGTTGTTATTCTTAGGTTATTCCCACACTTGACTTTATCATTGTTTACTACTAGTAAAAAGCAGCATTGCCAAATAATCCCTAATTTTCCACTAAAAATATAATGAAATGATGTTAAGCTTTTTGAAAAGTTTAGGTTAAACCTACTGTTGTTAGATTAATGTATTTGTTGCTTCCCTTTATCTGGAATGTGGCATTAGCTTTTTTATTTTAACCCTCTTTAATTCTTATTCAATTCCATGACTTAAGGTTGGAGAGCTAAACACTGGGATTTTTGGATAACAGACTGACAGTTTTGCATAATTATAATCGGCATTGTACATAGAAAGGATATGGCTACCTTTTGTTAAATCTGCACTTTCTAAATATCAAAAAAGGGAAATGAAGTATAAATCAATTTTTGTATAATCTGTTTGAAACATGAGTTTTATTTGCTTAATATTAGGGCTTTGCCCCTTTTCTGTAAGTCTCTTGGGATCCTGTGTAGAAGCTGTTCTCATTAAACACCAAACAGTTAAGTCCATTCTCTGGTACTAGCTACAAATTCGGTTTCATATTCTACTTAACAATTTAAATAAACTGAAATATTTCTAGATGGTCTACTTCTGTTCATATAAAAACAAAACTTGATTTCCAGCTGTGTGGTTTGGTTTTCATTTATTTATGGAATTGGAAGATTACTTCTGAAAAAAATGTGGAATCGCAAACTCAAAGAGTTGACAAAAATGGGAAATCACTGTCAACCTATGGAAAACTGGAAAGGCAATTTCAAGAACTGTCTTTGCTGAGAAACTACATTAAAAAATAGAATTATCTCTGGGATCCTAAAGCGGAATCATCCTTGTGCCAAAATAGGAGATGCCACGATCCTAATCACACCTGGCTTACACTAGTTGGATGTGCCTAAGGCCACTACAGCTGAGGTCACCTGATTCCTCAGGGGGACCAAGCTGGGCTCCTCATACTGGAGGGTAAATCCTTGTTTTAGCAGCAGCTGGCCTCTTACTAAGAAACAAAGTATTGGCCAGGTGCGGTGGCTCATGCCTGTAATCCCAGCACTTTGGGAGGTCAAGGCGGACGGATCACGAAGTCAGGAGATGGAGACCATCCTGGCTAACGTGGTAAAACCCCGTCTCTATTAAAAATACAAAAAAATTAGCCGGGCGTGGTGGCGGGCGCCTGTAGTCCCAGCTACTCGGGAGGCTGAGGCAGGAGAATGGCGTGAACCCGGGAGGAGGAGGAGGAGGCTGCAGTGAGCCGAGATAGCGCCACTGCACTCCAGCCTGGGCGACAGAGCAAGACTCCGTCTCAAAAAAAAAAAAAAAAAAAAAAAAGTATTGGCTGGGCGCTGTGGCTCACGCCTGTAATCCCAGCACTTTGGGAGGCCGAGGCGGGTGGATCACCTGAGGTCAGGAGTTCAAGACCAGCCTGGCCAACATGATGAAACCCCGTCTCTACTAAAAATACTAAAAGCCGGGCGTGGTGGCGCATACCTGTAATCCCAGCTACTTGGGAGGCTGAGGCAGGAGAATCACTTGAACCCAGGAGGCAGAGGTTGCAGTGAGCCGAGATCGCACCACAGCACTCCAGCCTGGGCTATAGAGCAAGACTCCTTCTCAAAAAAAAAAAAACAAAAAACAGTATTTCCTGCTTTTGTTATACATAGCAACAGCCTTGTCTTTATGTGTAGGGAAAAGAAATGTTTGATCCTATATTCAGGCTTTATTAGTCAATAATAAAGATAAATATTTGTTGACAAGATTGTCTCTGCTGAAAGTATATGTAGAGTTTTTCTCAGATGCAGTGATTTTAAGAATCACATGGAGTGTTTTTAATGTTCTATTCCTTCCCCCCAACATACTTGTTTTGTTGGGACCTACAATTCTGCCTTTGCTGGGTGCAGTGGCTCACGCCTATAATCCCAACACTTTGGAAGGCCAAGGCGGGTGGATCACCTGAGGTCAGGACTTCGAGACCAGCCTGGCCAACATGGTGAAACCCTGTCTCTACTAAAAATACAAAAATTAGCCGGGCATGGTGACACATGCCTGTAATCCCAACTACTTGGGAGGCTGAGGCAGGAGAATCGCTTGAATCCGGGAGGCAGAGGTTGCAGTGAGCCGAAATCATGCCACTGCACTCCAGCCTGGGTGACAGAACAAGACTCTGTCTCAAAAAAAAAAAAAAAAAAAAAAAAAACAAACAAGATTGGTGTAGGGAAATAGGATATGGTCTCCCCCCTTAAATCGATGGTCTAGTTTAGAAAACAAAAGTAATTCATCAAGTTAAGCATATACAAGAGCCAAATAATTGTAATCTGGATTTTAATTGCTGTATTAATATATCAAGTTCAGTTGGTGAGAATGGGATTGCTTTTGGGGGGAGGAGGGACATTAATTGGTTCTTCGAAATGTCGATTCACTGGCTAGGGCAGATGGGGAGGTCATTGTAAGAAGAGACCACAGAGACTAGACAATGACAGGCCCTGGGGAGTCATGGTAAACTCGAGAGTGGCGAGAGCAGTGTGTTTGTGGAAAGCAAGTTTAGATGGATTTGAATAGGAGAAACAAGGGTTCTAGAGGTCACATGGGAAGTCGTGTTAATCAGGGTTTCAATAAGACCGGGCTAAAATGGCAGAGGGAAATGCAGGGTTGAAGGCAAAGGTAGTGTGTGAATGGGGGCGCGGTGTATTTCTGGTGAGCCTGCTAGGTGCTTTTTTGGCACTGCTCTAGGTACTTTGGGTTAGGTCTTCAACGTCCTTGTGAATTAGTACCCAAGAAGAAACGGCCTCAGATTAAGTCATTTGCTTAAGGTTGCACAGCCAGTTGGTGCTGGAGTCGGATTTTGAAACCAGGCCAACACCACTGTCCCTCCTGTGTTCACTTCACCTTATCACAGTTCTCAGGAGGGCCTGGGGTAATGAACAGGTGGCAGAGACAGCAGGAAGAGTCTGGAGTGGTTGTGTGACCATTTAGCCCAACCTTGGCACCTTCTAACAAAGAGTAATACCCTCGAAGTATACTTCATTTACTACTGTTTCTGCTTTATATTACCCCTCAGCATCTCGCGCAGAAGAAAGCAAAGGGAAGCAATGGGGCATCTGATTGGTCTGGGAGCTCCAGATAGCCAGCAGGTACTTGAAGGCTGCAAGCCAGCTTGAGAGCAGTGGCTGGAACTGGAAGGGGTGTGCACACTACCAATAGCAAGTGAGCAAGAGAGACCCACAATAAACTGAAGGTTATTACAGTACTACAGTAGGCTCTAAGAAAGTCCCTTCTCCCACTTTAAGAAACAGGGCTTTTTTTTTTTTTCTTTTTTACTTTTAAAGGAAACAATTCATTTGCTAGAAAAACCTAAAAAAAAAAAAGATTATATACAAAATGGTTGTCTGAATGTGGATTTTATACTGCAGCAAAAGCAACCCAGCTCTGGAACTCTATTCGGCTTCCTCAGTTATCAGGTACATCATGCTGCTGATGAAGGTGAAGGCGAAGGCCACCCACGCCAGGATGTAGGAGTAGCCATAGCTGCCTTCTTTGGTCAGGTAATAGAAATCCGTTGTTTCATCGCGCCTGTCTGTATAAATGGAGGCTGCAATCATGAGGCACAGATATGACATTGTAGCATGGTGTACTTTTTTTTTTTTTTTTTTTTTTTTTTTTTTTTTGAGACGAGTTTCGCTCTTGTTGCCCAGGCTGGAGTGCAGTGGCGCGATCTCGGCTCACTGCAACCTCCGCCTCTCGGGTTCAAGCGATTCTCCTGCCTCAGCCTCCCGAGTAGCTGGGACTACAGGTGTGTGCCACCACACCCGACTAATTTTGTATTTTTAGTAGAGATGGGGTTTCTCCATGTTGGTGAGGCTGGTCTCAAACTCCCGACCTCAGGTGAACCCCCCGCCTCAGCCTACCAAAGTGCTAGGATTACAAGGCGTGAGCTACCATGCCCGGCCGCGGAGTGGGGTACTCTTTTTTTTTTTTCTTTTTTTTGAGACGGAGTCTCGCTCTGTCGCCAGGCTGGAGTGCTGTGGCGCAATCTTGGCTCAATGCAACCTCCAAATCCCTGGTTCAAGCGATTCTCCTGCCTCAAGCCTCCTGAGTAGCTGGGATTACAGGCACGCACCACCACGCCCGGCTAATTTTTGTATTTTTAGTAGAGACGGAGTTTCATTATGTTGGCTAGGCTGGTCTCTATCTCCTGACCTCATAATCCGCATGCCTCGGCCTCCCAAAGTGCTGGGATTACAGGGGTGAGCCACCGCGCCCGGCCCATGGAGTACTCTTTAAAGCTGTCATTGATTACTGTACACTTCGTGTTTTTGGTACATATTCTCCAGACATCTGCAAAAAACTCATTTCCTACCCACCAGGCATTGTCGATGGTGGCGATGAACAGCAAGGCCGCAGAGGTGATGTGGAAGGCGACGGTGAAAGTAAGAAGCACCAACATTTTCATAGGGCAGGGCGAGGCGAGGGGTCACGTTTAAAGCCCAGAGCGGGATGTGCCGGCGCTGGCCGCTACGCAGGCTGCTGGACCGATGGACCGGCTGGGGTGCGAGGCAAGGCCGCCGGGCTGTTTTGAAGCTCTGGGCTGAGACTGTGCACCCTCCCTCCTCTGAAACCAGGGCTTCTTGAAATGGCAGATTCCAAGTTTGTGTCAGGAAAGGGGTAAAATGAGCCTGAAATAGCTGATTACATCAGATCTCAAACTCAAAATCTAGGGATGTTATCAAGATGGCTTGGGAGTTAACTTGAAGATGCTCACTCTGGCTAAAGATGGGACAGTCTGAACCTGTTGAATATGTGTAAATCCATGAGTTTATGATGATACCAAACACACATGCACACACCCCTAATTGGTCACTATTGGAGAATGCCAGGGAAATAGCTCTTCCCTCCCCCTACAACTCCTCTGGTGGTAAGTAAAAGAATCAATAATTAATCTTACCTTCCTTATATGAACTATACCACTGCGTAACTGAATAGTCAACAAGATGAAGTTTCTCTGTACAGAAGTATTCCAACAACAACCAAAAAGAAGAAGTAATAGAGTCTTATCTCACAACCTCTGATGAATTCATGGATCTAGGCAACGGTCGATGGCTACTAACATCACAAAAAGATCCAACAAAACAGACATTTATGTTCCTTCTGACCAAGAGCACCATGCTTATGAGGAGGCCATGCCTGATCAA
Organism: Homo sapiens; assembly: GCF_000001405.40. NCBI lineage: Eukaryota > Metazoa > Chordata > Mammalia > Primates > Hominidae > Homo > Homo sapiens. The sequence goes on from NC_000002.12 coordinate 26,142,010, forward strand.
AAGATCAGATCTGTAGTTTAGAGCCAACTGCTAATTTATAGGAAAAACGAGCACAGAACATGTTATACTAAATCAATCAACAAAATCCAGACCGTAAACTTTACAGGACAATTGCTTCAGCCTCTTCAAAATTCAATTTCAATAGGTAGAGAGAGAAAAGCAGGCAAAGCTGAACTATAGTGCGTTTAGGAAAGTACAGCATAATATACTAATGTAAATTAAGAAAATCATTATCCTAGAAGTCAGGATAGGGATATTATTATTATTACTATTTTGAGACAGAGTCTCGCCCTGTCACCCAGGCTGGAGTGCAATGGCATGATCTCGGCTCACTGCAACTTCTGCCTCCCAGTTTCAAGTGATTCTCATGCCTCAGCCTCCCCAGTAGCTGGGATTACAGGCACCCACCACCACGCCTGGCTAATTTTTATATTTTTAGCAGCGATGACATTTCACCATGTTGCCCGGACTGGTCTCGAACTCCTGACCTCAGGTAATCGGCCTCCCACTCAGCCTCCCAAAGTGCTGGGATTACAGGCGGGAGCCACTGTGCCCGGCCAGGATAGGGATATTCTTAGCAGAGGGTTCCTAGGATAGCAAAATCTTTTCACATGGATATTGGTTGCAAGGGGGTTTGCCTTATAACAATTTATTAATCTACCCATTTGTTTTATTAAGTTTTAAAATTTGTATTATAAGGGCTGGGCGTGGTGGCTCATGCCTGTAATCTCAGCACTTTGGGAGGCTGAGGTGGGTGGATTGCCTGAGCTCAATAGTTCTAGACCAGCCTGGGCAACATGACGAAAATCTGTCTCTACAAAAAATAACAAAAATTAGCCAGGCATGGTGGTGTGCATCTGTGGTCTCAGCTGCCTGGGAGACTGAGGTGGGAGGATCAGTTGAGTCCTGGAGGTTGAGGCTATAGTTAGCCAAGATTACACCACTGCACTCCACTCCACACTCCAGCCTGGTTGATAAAGTGAGACCCCCATCTCGAAAAAAAAAAATGTATTATAAGTTTAGCCCTAAAGGGCTGTGAACGTGTGTGTCTACGGTTATACTGGGTAGCTCCTAGTCTCTAAGACCATAGAACCAGTCTTAAAGGCTGTGCACCAAGATCCGGGTGTGCCCTCCAAAACAACAACAAAAAAGATTGTGCATCAAGACCAGTGCTCAAAATTAGACTTAAAAGAATTGGTCTGCTAAGGCCCTGTAGTCACTGCTGATCAACACAGACATCACGCCCCAAGAATTGTCCCTGCTGCCTCTGAAAACTGGCTGCCGCCAGTGCCAAAACTCCTGCAAAGGTGGATGGATACTGTATGGATTCTGCTTTGTTTCAGTGGCTTCTTGTTCACAGTCTGGATGGTTATTGGTTGGTGAAGCCCAAAATACATGCCCCTGCCCCAGGTGCCAGGGAAGTGGGGAAAAGGGAGAATCTCTTGTTTTCAGCTTCAATAGTGGGAGGTGGCCTCTGACTCTAAGATGGGGGATTTAGGTAACTGGATGGGCAAAAAGAGTGACAAATATCTACTATGCCAGTGGTGTGCAAACTTTACTGCACATTAGGGGAGTGCTTTTAGAAATACAAGCACTGGCTCTGTGCAGTGGTTCATGCCTGGAGTCCCAGCACTTTGGGAAGCCGAGATGGGAGGACTGCTTGAGGCCAGGGGTTCAAGACCAGCCTGAGGGTATAGTGAGACACTTTCTTTACACAATAAGCAAACAAACTAATGCCAAGGTTGCACCCCAGAATTCCTGAGATGATAGTGGCTTTTTGTTCGTTTTTAACTTCCTATGTGATTCCCATGTGCAGCCAAGTTCATGAACCAGTTCCCATACCCTTGCTACTCAAAGTGTGTTCTTCAGATCACCTGCATGGGAATCACCTGGGAGCTTCTGAGAACTGCAGCTGCTCTGCACAATTCACATCTATGATTACACAAAAGCCCCAGAGGAGTCTCACACAAATTACAATTTGAGAAAGGTGGCCCTATGCTATTTTCCCAAGGCCAGCCCGAATCCCACCAGCAGGTATATTCCCCACTTCTGAGCAGAGCAGTTGCCTTTCTCTTCTAAATCCCGAGAAGAATACATTTGGCCTGCTTTTCCGTTGGGCATTTATTGCCTACTTCCTTGTTTGTGGTTAACTGGCTTATCTCTTTAATGGATTGTGAGCGAGTGGTGGGCAGGGACTCTAGTCCTTTTTGTGTTTTCACAAATCTTATTGCATTGCTGTCCACGCAGCAGGTGCTCAGAACATGCAGTGAGTGAACCGGTGACGTTCCTTCAGCTTCCCTCTCCCATCACATTCAAGCAGGGGATGCAGCGGCCTCCTTTTCCCCACCCCCACTTCCATACATTCACAGTCCCATCTTGATTCAAAGGCAACTTCAATTATAACTTTTAGTCTGGGCACAGTGGCTCACGCCTGTAATCCCAGCACTTGGGAGGCCGAGTCTGGTGGATCACTTGAGGTCAGGAGTTTGAGACAAGCCTGGCCAACATGGTGAAACCCTGCATCTACTAAAAATATAAAAATTAGCCTGGTGTGGTGGCACGTGCCTGTAATCCCAGCTACTTGGGAGGCTGAGGCAGGAGAATCACTTGAACCTGAGATAGGTATTAGTAAGCCGAGATCATGCCACTGCACTCCAGCCTGGGCAACAGAGCAAGACTGTCTCAAAAAAAAAAAAAGAAAGAAAGAAAAAGAAAAAAGGCGGGGCCTGGTGGCTCATGCCTGTAATCTCAGCACTTTGGGAAGCTGAGGTGGGAGGATCACAATGTCAGGAGTTTGAGACCAGCCTGACCAACATGGTGAAACCCCGTCTCTACTAAAAATACAAAAATTAGCCAGGCATGGGAACGCATGCCTGTAATCCCAGCTACTCAGGAGGCTGAGGCAGGAGAATCACTTGATCCTGGGAAGCGGAGGTTGCAGTGAGCCGAGATCACACCACTGCACTCCAGCCTAGGCAACAGAGTGAGACTCCGCCTCAAAAAAAAAAAAAAAAATTTAAAGTTCAAATTTATTCTTACTACTTCCGGGTATTGGATACATTAGTTGACTCCTGTGAATCATTTCCTTGTCTCTAAAGGAGATGGACTCGAAAGCTCTCCAACAGTTCAATGGAAATATTCTACAATTCTGTAGTCCACCTTGCTGGATTAGCCAGGACTCCAATACCCCAACTCTTGTGGGGTTGGCAGTGGGGCTTGCATGGAGAAACTATAAATTAAACGTAGGGTCGCTCCGCCACCGTGTGACCAATGCTGGAAACTGCATTTCTTCAGTGTGCCATGAGAGATTTCTCAAAAGCCCATCAAGATTTTAGGGTAATATATAGCCACACAAAATTAAATGATCTCTCCCTACCCCCACCAGCATGGCAGACACGGAATTTTAAAAGTATAAACCTACAAAGATAAAAATTAGGGAGCAAGAGACATCAGCAAGTGAGAATTAAAATTTTTATGTATGTAAATATTAGTCTTTAAAAAATGGAAGATGGAAAACAGAGCTAACTGACGTGGAGCATAAGTTACAACCTCATTGTTTTCAAAGGGGGATGTCGATAAGAAGTGGGTATATTTTCTCTGATGGGATCCCAAGAGTTCCAGGATTTATAGGTACCAGTTACCATGGACAACTGAGGCATATGGCAATGGGCTAAAAATGGAGCAAGGAAATAACGGATCCCAAGTGTCCCTTCCCACCCCTCACAGCCAGGAGTTGCTGTCACCCCTCTTCAAGCCTTATTATTTGCAGAAATGAAACTATAGAGGCTTCAGATGTGAGGCCACCAGGCCCAGAGAGAGGTGGAGGTGAGTCATAGTATCAAAAACAAGGAATGAAGTGGACGCCTGTCTTGAATAATGGGCTCCTAAGCTTCTTTCCTTCATTCTTCCTTCCCTTTCCCAGAATTTTAGCAGCCAAATACATGTACTCAGGCAGAAGATTAGGAAGTCCTTCTGTCACATGGAAGTTCACCAACAAAAAGGCCCCTTATAGCAGATTCCTCCAGTTCTGAGGACATATAAACACATACAAAGTTTCCAATCTACCAAAACCGTATATACGAAATCAGTCAACATAAAGAAAAGTATAGG